>NC_000006.12:68974018-69277048 GCF_000001405.40 Homo sapiens
CTGCTATCATTGCTTTTAGTTGAAGAGGTAAAAAGTTACGTATTTTTACTCTTTATGCTTATTTATTTTTAACATTTAATAGTTAATAATTTTAATGTGCCTTTTTGTTTGTTGGAAGTCACTTTTTTGTATAACATCCTAAAATATTATAAATATTTTTATTGATATGCCTGAATATGTTCAACTTGTAGGCAAATCCAAATGACCTCTATAAATAGTCTACACAGTAAGCAGTTCAAAAAGAAATTACAATTCTGTAAATACTTTGTAGATACTAAAAGGAAATCTGATGGGTTTTTATGTATGTTTATGCCACTAACATTTCAGTAAACAATATACATTAAAGCAAATGAAAGAGCCTGTGCATGGTGGCTCAATTCTATAATCCTGGCACTTTGGGAGAAGCTCAAGATGAGCCTGGCAACATAAGGAGACCCTTTCTCTACGTAGAATTAAAACAAAAAATCGGCCAGATGTGGCAACACACGTCTGTAGTCCTAGTTACTCAAGAGACTAAGGAGGGAGGATGGCTTGAGCCCAGTAGTTTGCGGCTGCACAGTGAGCTAGGATCATGCCAGTGCACTCCAGCCTGGGCAACAGAGTGAGACCCCATCTCTAAAAAAAAGAAAGAAAAAAAAAGAAAACTAAAGAGCTCTGCAGTTAGAGAGGTGCCTTTGACAATTGTTTATTGCCAAAATTTTTTAAACACTACTGACATTCAAGTCCCTTTGTTTAAAATTGCAGCACCTTATGAAATATGCCCTGAGGATTATCTGATGTCGATGGTGTGGAAAAGAACTCCAGCAGGCGACTTGGCATTCAATCAATGTCCCCTGAATGCCACAGGTACAGTAGGATGACCCACCCAAACCCTAGTGATAATCCCCATCCAAGAACAGCATGCAGTGTTGGTTTATGAAGTCATGTTTTTGTCTTATATCCATAAATAAGTCTGTCCAATAAGCAAATAATGAAACAATTTTAGTAAAGTGCTTCATAAATGAAGCCAATGAAGAGATATAGAAAATATTGCTGGTGTAATTGTTTCTCAGTGTGACTAATATGCATTATAAAAATAATCAAAATATCAATTTCATGTGCATGTTTTTTAAAGAAAAAAAGTACAAACTTAATTTTTAGCCTGATTCCCAGCTAAGTGTGATGCCTTCAAACATCCCTATTATAAAGCTTCTCTCTGTTCTTTGTGACACACAGGCACCACTAGCAGACGCTGCTCTCTCAGTCTTCATGGAGTGGCCTTCTGGGAACAGCCGAGCTTTGCAAGATGCATATCAAATGAGTACAGACACTTGCAGCATTCAGTAGGTGCAAAGCCAGCTTTAGTACTTGCTCTGTTTATTTTTTGCTAATGATCACTGTGTGAGAATTTAACCTTCTGCTGTACAATCAAATCAGTAACATCTCTAAAAAAGAAATGCCTGAAGGAGAAAGCAATGTGATAGAAAGCTAATTTTTATAGGTCAGTGCTAAATTGTTTTGTTCCTAGGACTTGGGTTTTTATGGATCCTGCTATTTAAATGAAAGAACCCTTTGTCTAGTGGGGGAAAGGCCTGAGCAAAATCTGTTATTCAGTTTTACCTATAAAAGTTAAACATATGCATTATGGTTGGCTTAAGTCTGTGTTAAATACTTATTTTAAAATATCATACATTTTAAAATTAAATTATTTAAATTTGCAGTAGTTGGACAGTGATAAAGCTGTGTCACTTAGCTATCAAATTTCTCACTGCAGTTTGAGATTAAGACATTAAAATAAATGACAGTGTTATTGCACCAGAGAAACTTAATTACTCCCAAAAGATTACATGGGCCAAATTTTCCAAAAAATAGCTCTTCTTTTCCCACATATCATTGACTTATTCACAGAGTATGATGCATGAATATTTTGAGCATAGTTACATTTTGCTTGGTATTTTACAAGTACAAGTCATTGTCATTACTGCAGACTGTTGTCATTTCATCCTGACAGTCAACAGGGCCTCCATACATGAATAAACACTGTAGGGTGTAGAACAAAATATGAACATGAGCCAACTGGGAAGTTTAATCTTGGCAGGAGTGATGTTTACTTAAATGCCTTTATGTTTTGTTGTGCTTATATTTTCTTTTACTGTTCTTACTGTCACTCAAAAATATACATAACTTTTGTAAGAATCCTAAAGAGTATTCTTGCTTGTGGATGGAGAAATAGCTTATACAATAACAACCCCTATCAACTAATAGAATTAGTATTTGTTTCATTATCAGAAAAAGAAAAGCATTTTTTTAAAATCTGAAAGTCAAATTCTGTACAGCATGTTTCCTTATGAAACTTGGAGTTAAATTTATCATTATTTAACTATCTGGAGAATTATTTCTGTCATTATATATACTTATGTATATCTATATACAGTTGACCCTTGAATAATGTGGCCGTTAGGGGCGCCAACACCCAGGGCAGTCGAAAATCCATATGTAACTTTTGACTCCCTTCACATTTACTAATAGCCTGTTCTTGACCAGTAAGGAAGGCTCACCGATAACAAAAACAGTTTATTAACACATATTCCATATGTTACATATATTTTGTACTGTATTTTTACAATAAAGTAAGCTAGAGAAAAGAAAATGTTATTAAGAAAGTCATAAAGAAGATAAATTATATTTGCTTGAATAGTGGAAGTGGATTATTATAAAAGTCTTCATCCTCATTATCTTTAGGCTGAGAAGGAGAAAGAGGAGGGGTTGGTCTTGCAGGCTCAGGAGTGGCAGAGGCAATACAAAATCTGCATGTAAGTGGACTGCACAGTTCAAACCTGTGTTGTTCAAGGGCCATTGCTACAGATATGTGTATAGCAGTAATTGATGATTATTTGGCTATATACAGCCTTATTTCTGTTGTAAATATATACTTACAATATAGAAAAATATATATTTTTTTATATTTATCACATAAACATAAAGTTTTATATTTATATATCATATAATATGCATTATATTGATATAAATTCAAAAATAGAAATATAAATAAGATTTTATATTTATATATTATATGCAGATATATAAATATAAATATACACATGTATTTTTTATAGTCTTTTTTTGTTTCTATTTAGAGACAAAAATATATATAAGTGAGGGAATATAACATATAGCTTAGCTTCATAATATAAAATGTAAGAATATGAAATATAAAGCTTCTTTTATTAATAGCTGTCAATAACTCAGACCATTATATTTCAAAATTAGGTATAAGTAAAAATGTATAAATTAAATTTTAATGGATTTTTTTTTCTAATTTTAGTCATTAGACTTTGTTTAATTATATCCATATTCAGTTCTTGTTCAGTCGTGGTGATGAATGGGAATAATTACAGGGATTAAGTAAATAACAGAGCAATCTTTACAAATTTGCTAAGAATTAATAGTATCACTTTTGTTGCAGAAAATTTTCACTTTCCAAATGTACTGTTTTGTACTGCAACATTTAAATGGGGTTTCATTCTTGAGTGCAGGCCATCTGATAATGGATTAAGATAGATACACTCAGTGAAATAGAAGAAATGAAATCTCAAAGTGTGAATCCTGTTGAAATTATTCAGTCAATAATTGACAGCAAATATGAATATGCCCTTGTTGACTTGGGTACAATTATCAGGTGCATGATCTTGTATAGTAAAAAGCTGCCTCTGTTTATTCGGCTCCTACATAGTACTAGGCACTAGGCTGGAAACTTTCATAAATGAATCCCAGTCCTCACAAGAATCTGCAAGATGGGTGTCCATGCCGCAGTTTACATAAAAAGAATCTGAATATCTGTCGGGGAGCAGTCACTTCAGTGAGGTAAAGAGTGAAAAGTATGCCCTAGGCGCAATTGTTCCAAAACCTAATCTCTTTTCTTTAGGCCATTCAACCTTCTGAACTTTTGATATGAAATCATCTGTCTTATACTCTATTGCTGGGAGCAGTATTTTCTGCTTACATGTTCTTAGGAAAAGTCATATGATCACACTCAAGTCTTAGCTTGCTATTTACAAAATGGAATTGGTTCCATCATCTTAGCACCTGTGGAAGTTTTGGAATGGAACAAATGAGATATGTGGAATAATCATACATTGTGAAAGAGTTGTGTAACAATGGGCATTAATATTTCTGGGTTCAGAAAATTGATTTTGAGTTTAAAGTATTGTTTCAATAAGAATAAAATTTTGGAACTCAACATATTGTTAATTTGAGCTGTACCTGTAGAAAAGTATAGATAAATTAGATATGGATAGATGGTTGGATAGGTAGGTAGGTAGGTAGATAGATACATAGATAGATAGGTAGGTAGATACACAGATAGATGATAGAGATAAGATAGATGTTGCATATATTTTGGCATATGAATTATGCTTAAATACATGTATGAAATATACACACACATTTGTACATGCATACATACACAAATCTAGGGCTTGCCTAAAGAGCATGATCTTTTTACATGTTCAGTAAAGTATAGAATGAATGAATGTATGCTTTCAATAATGCTTATGTCACACATCAGCCTCATCATCCACACTCTGCATACTCAATTGGAAACAGAAATGAGATCAACATTTCTGCATAGGCTTACTCATTCTGTTGCTTTGCTAAGTCATGCTTTGTCTAAGTAGCAAAACTGGATAGTATTTGTGATATAGAACATTTGAGACTTCCTCAAATTCTTAAATTAGTTTGGAGACTGTGCATTTTTCTCCTCTAGTAGAGTTTATCATTTCAACATTTAATCCTTGAGAGATTTCATTTCCTTACCCTTCTATATTCTAAAAGTTCATTCAATAATAATTAATTATAATCTACTGTAGAAAAATATTTAAAATAGGGAGCTCTATGTTTTCCAACTATTTGAAACATAGATTACAATATATGTGTATACCTACTTTATAAATATATAGCAATCACCTAAATTTGAAATGAAATTTTATCATTAATAAACATTAGTTGTGTATGTTCTATGAACTCTCAATTATAAACCAGTTGAGGTAAACAAAAGGGCCATCAATAAGTTTAAGATATAAAATCACTAATCTGTCATGTTGGACATTTGGTTTTTTTCTTTTTTTGTAAATCTTCATTGCTATAGTCCTAACATAATACTAAGCATATACTATTAATAAATATTTCAAAGATTTTTGAGTAAAGCACGACTTTGCTACTTTTCTTATAAGTAGAAGGATACTAGCAGCTGGAGAGTTCTGAGAAGGTGATACACCAGACTTAATGTTTATGCATGTTAACCACATGAAAGGAACAAGTATAAGCCTTCATGTGCAATTTCTCCAGCCCCCAAATACCTAGAAATGTGTAGTGATTGGTGACATCACTTTATGAAATTATTCGGCCATTGTATAACAATTTCAATTAGTTAATACTTATGAAGTTTATTTGGAAGCCTTATAAGATGCAAAGTTAGACACTATCATATCAATGTTGTTTTTTAAAAAAGACACAAATACACTTATCCAATTAAATAAAATTGAGAATATGAGAACAAAGTGCTAAACGTTGTGAGATTCTTGGAAAGTTTAAATTTTTAATATGTTAATGTTTCATTTGATACTCTGGAGTATTTTTTGAATTGTATACCAGAAAAAGTAAACATAATTGCAGAATTCTTGAAAAATAGGCACAGGAGTCAAATAAATTAACAATATCATTTCTTATTACTTATAAGCTATTTGGAGAACATGACTAAATATTGTAGTCCAGTGGGCCAGCCTACACTTGAACAAATAGACTTATTTTGTCTTTGGTATATGTGAACAATCACAGGCAACATTCTCTTTCTCTCTCTCTTCTCTCTCCTCTTCCTCCTCTTCCTCTCTTTTACATACATACAAACACACACCTGGGGAGACAAGCTGTGTGTAATTGGCAGAATGTATGCCCCTGTAGGTAGACAAATCTAAAGCAAAGGGAGTTGATCCAAGCATACCAATGCTTTCTCCTAAATTTATTGGACAGGTATATCACTCCTCCTTCCCTGGAGATGAGTGAGTGATGAAGATGGAGAAAGGCTAAAGATACTACTCTAATGGAAGCTCTTCCATAGGGAAATATGAAGAGTTAGGTATAAATATCCCCTTTTAGGTTATTGTTCCTTAAAACTCTGTTTCTATGATTCAAATCTTCATTAAACAAACAAATACAAATGTTGGAGTGATTATTTAGTCATCTTTACCTAACATTTTTTACAGATGTTAAAGAACTTGAATCCCATTTAAGGACTTTATTTCTCCTACTTTCCTCTACTCTTATGGGTAGTTTATTAGAACAGATAGCTGGAGCTACAGACAGAGAGACCAAGAGAGACAAAGAAACTGAGACAAAGAGAAAGAGACAGAAAGTAGGAGAATATTTGCTTTCCTTTTTTCTCCCTACTTTCTCTCAAGTTAATGCAACAAAACTCCTCACATATCACACTTTTTTGGTCACCATCTGATTGCACAAATGCTCAGCACATTGCCTAAAAGACGATAACACATTTTATTACTTCAGCTTATTTGGGGGAAGAAAACAAAACAATACCATCATAGGTCTCGTTTACAACAAATATGTATTGAGCTAAAAAGTATGCCTGTCTTATTGTTTCTTCAATGAGCAATTAAGAAACCAGTAAACAAATGCCGAGGTTCAGCTGGTCATAGGAACTAGCAGATGGATTTAATTTTCAAGTATTCACCAATTAGGTGGGAGTGAGTGAGCCTGTGAGACAGGAGTTACCTGTTCTGCAAATTCTATGTAATATAATAAGGCTGGAACGTGACAAGTCATGGAAAAGCAGGGAGCACCTAAATCAGTAGTTCTTAATCCTGACAACATTATTATCACATGGAAGTTCTTAACCCTGAATCAATAAGAAAGTCACTCCAGACCAATTAAACAGGATTGTTACCAGACCGTAGTACACATTCAGTAACTGTTATTATTATTACTAATTATAACATTGATTTTTGCATCCATATACATGTATTTCTAACTACATGGTCCTCTCATGAAATCATGTGGACAACTTAGTACTCAAGACATAGCATTTTACTGCCTTTTAATTCTTGTCACCACGCTCCAAAATGTTGTGAGTACTCACTTACGGAATTCAAATAATCATTGCAGAACCCAACAATAACAAGGAAAAGTTAGAGTATTGCTCTCTCTAAAATGGGCAGAAGTCTCTTTATTTTATTCAGAACCTATCTGTTAGAATTTTGAGATCTGAGTTCAGCTCCACAGTTATGGAGTTTTTAACATGTGGTCTTGAATAAAATTATGTGTTCACTGTGTTTACAGCAAATAGTAATAGCTCATATTTATTGAAGCTGATGGGAAACAAACAAACTTGGAAGGGAGGTGTTACTTAAATCTTTCTTTTCTAAGCAATTCATATGTCAGAGTTTACAACATATTTCAGAAGTTCCTAATGAGTTTTCCATTATGCCTGTAAAACTTTCAATTGTATTGACTTTATGTATTGTATTATAAGTCTAGAACAGGGCTGGTGAACTGCTTCTATAAGAACAAGATAGTAAATACTTTAGACTTTACATGCCATATGGCTTATGTTGCAACTATTCAACTCTGCTTTGTAGTACAAGAGCACAGCTACAGACAGTAAATAACAAATGGGCATGGCTGTGTTTCAGCAAAACTTATACAAAAACAAGCAATGGGTTGGATTTGGCCTGCAGGCTGTAGTTTACTGACTCCTAGTCTAGAATACACTTTGTTTCTGTTTTTAAGATCACAACACTTTTGGGGTTCTCCAAAGAATGGACAATACCTATTTTGTTATTTATTTATTTATTTATTTATTTATTTATTTATTTATTTATTTATTTTAGACAGAGTCTCACTCTATTGCCCAGGCTAGAGTGCAATGGTGCGATCTCGGCTCACTGCAACCTCTGCCTCCCAGGTTCAAGCGATCAAGCGATTCTCCTGCCTCAGCCTCCTGAGTAGCTGGGATTACAGGCGCCTGCCACCACGCCGGGCTAATTTTTGTATTTTCAGTAGAAACGGGTTTTCATCATGTTGGCCGGGCTGGTCTTGAACTCCTGACCTCATGATCTGCCTGCCTCAGCCTCCCAAAGTACATTTATAACTCTAAGATCTGCATAATCTGTGAGTCTACTTTGCTTTTCTTTTTGTCTGTCGTATCTCCTGGCCACTTTTCATATCCGGTAATATTTTATTGAATGTCAGACATTGCATAAAATAAACATATGGGTTTCAAATCATACTGGCTAATGTATCCCAAAAAGTATCCTTCCTTTCCTTAGCTATTCAAATACAGTGAGGAGTTGATACTTTAATTCATTCGGAAATTGATCTGGGTCAGGGCTGTTTTGCACTTTTAATAAGACTATATCTGCTTAGGCTGCCTTTCTCCATGATGTTTGTAGAGCCTATATGTGCCCATCCTGTCAGCTCTGAGAGACAGAGGGAGATTCAGCTCAGCCTTCAGAAGTTGCTAGTTCCATGTTCTAGCTTTCTGCCCAAGCAACTTCAAAATCTATCAACTGTCTTGAGGGTGAGACCAGCTGGGTGCTTAACACTGGACTCTTCCCTAAGTTCCCAAAGCTCTTAAAGGAAAGGGAAAATTGCAATTCTGCATTTAAGAAGTCTTCATCCTATCTCCTCAGCTTTTTACACAGGGCAGAAGCTCAGCAAATGTTTCACGAGAAAAAAAATCTCAGCAGGATTTTTAGGGCCCCTCAAATTTTCACTATATTTTTCCATCTCTGGCCAACCAAATTATATTCATTTATCTTTCTACCCGAGAGGTGCTCTGCCTCACCCGTGCTTGACCCTCAATTCTTACCCAGAATTAAGAAACTTTCGCAGGAGAAAAAGAAATGAATTAAATATTTGGCTTACCTCAGAAAAGATCTCTACTTTCTGGAAATTTAGTTCATCTCATTCTCACTACTTACATAGCTCTCTGATGTCCTTGAAAGTGTCATTTTTGTAATTTATGTGAGTTTTTCTAGTTGCAATGACAAAATCATTGGTCTTATATAAGTGAGACATTATCCCAAACCAGTAAATTTAAATTGTATTATAAAAAAGAAAAATAATCTTTAGTCACATATGATTGTGTTCCCTTGGAAATTTTAAGGAAGCCTAATATGTATATGAAATATCTCTAATAAATATACTTTTTTTCTATTTTTAACCTTATAACTTACTACTGATTATATCACTAAAAGCTGAGGAGATTTTTAAGCTTCTCCCAAAGTATGCCTTTAGTGTGGCTTGGAGGATAAATGTTAGAGTCAGTTTTAGGCATTGAAACTTTTTGAAGTGTCTTCACGGCCATACCACTCTGAATGGGCCTGATCTTGTCTGAAAGTTTTTGAAGTGAAACTTATTTATAGGATAGAATATAATTGTATAGTATATAACATATATATAGTATATATATAATTGTATAGTATAATTGTAATTGAATATAATTGTATAGAAAAGTATATTTAGACTAATACCAAAGGGAAAAAAATTACAAAAGAAACTATACTGTGTTATTCAATCATTTATGTATCCATTCATCTACCCATTAATTCATTATACAAATAATCATTGACCTTTAACTATGTGCCAAGTAGAGCTCAAGGACCTGGAGAAGCAACTTGAATGTAACACACAATAAATTCAATGTAAATATAAATAGACAGGAGATGCGATTAAAAATAATTACAAATTCTTATATGTTAAAGGAAATTAGCAGGGTGCCAACATACAGAATAATGTTTGGAAACGACTTCAGATTAAAATAAAATAAAATAAAAAACAGTGAGGTCTCTCTATTTCTTCTTAGAAATAACATTTAATACTGTGACCTGAAAGATGAGATGAATGCATGAGATAAACATGTAAACGGTAGAGAGAATGACTATGTCAGGAAATGACAGCACATTCCATGTAGCGAAAATAACATATGGAAATACCTTGAGGTCTTTAAGAAAGCAAAAAGATCTACTGGCCAGAGGTAGTAAGCAAGAAGAGAGTGTCATGACATGAGGCTGGAGAGAGCTGTGCCTTAAGGCCTTTGCTAGGAGTTTGGATTTAATACTAAGTGCAATGGGAATGCATTGAGAAGAGGGATGGTTTGATTAGATCTAATTAAAGAGGGTCATATGAGGTTTCTATGGAGGATAGACCATAGGGTGGCAGGACTGGAAACTTTGAAACCTGCTGCAGTAATCCAGACGAGAGATGATGGTGTCTTTTATTAAGGTTAGTAATCACATTTGGCTGGTTATAATGTCATTTTTCTGAGGCAGGGAAGGCAGGGCCATGAGGAATAATTTGGGACAGATGAGGTTTTGGGTTGTCAAAGGTTGTTTCTATTAAATCTGGAGAATGTAATTGGATATGGGAGTCGGAAACTCAGATTCTAATTTCTGGACAGGAAATAATTTTGGAAGTCATCAACACAAAGAACAGGAGATTAGGAAGTAAAAAATGGTTGTGTATTTATCCCTTTCTAAATTTTGATAATGAATGAGAGCAGAAGAATAGGGTAGTAGTTAGGAGGATGTGTAAGGCCAAAAAAGGGTTTTGTATTATTTTGTTTTGTTTTAAATGAGAAATATTATAACATTTTTATATGTTAAAATAAATGATCCAGTAAAAATTTAGAAGAGAAACATGAAAAATTAAAGAAAACCCAAGAAGGCAAAAAGAAATGTTAGCCATAGCAAAAGTCAAAAAATTCACTTTGGTAGGAAAAAAGATACTTTCTCCTTTATAACCAGAGGAAAGCAGATGGGAAAGATGAATACAGTGAAAAGAGCTTAGTGGGTTTTGTGTGGGAGAGATTATGGGGTTTTCATCTGATGGATTTTTTTTTTCTCCATTTAGTATGAGGCAGGATCATTAGCTAAGAGTGAGGATTTAGGAGGAAATGTGTGTCTTTCCAAGAGAGATGAAAAGGTATAAAACAGTAATTTCCAGAAGGTTGAAAATAAGCCTATTAGAGAAATATAATAGGATTAGCAGGCTGCATTGTACAACCTGAAGTCTGAAATACAGAATTTAGAGTATAGCTGTCAGTTTAGTTATGATTTTTCTCCAACAAAGTTGAGCTACTTGTATGCAGGTGCAGGGAAGGTATTTGTTAAAGCCTTGCTATTCAGAATGTTTTCTGAGGACCAGAAGTGTCCGCAGCACCTGAGAGCTTGTTAGAAATGTAGCATCTTAGACTGCCCCAGACTTACGTTATCAGAATCAGCAACTTTGAAAAGTGCTCTTTGTGATTCACTGCACATTAAAGTTTGAGAAACACTGTGGTAGATTTTATCCAGCGTTGATATTTTGATGAATCAATCCATTGGCATTAGAGAGAGGCAAAGAAGTAAAATGACTGTTAGTTAGCATCATACCATCACAAAACATATTATATTAGGTGATATCTGATTTTCCTCTTCTGGGCATATGGGAGGATTGTACTTCCTCACCCCCTTGATGTTAGGTACCTATGTGACTAGTTCTGGTCAATTGGTTGTGCATGGAGGTGACCATTGCCATGTCAGGCCTGAGAGTGTCATTCATTGCCATTGCAAGGTCTTTTATCCTCCATCATCTCAAGCCCTTGAAGGACTGTAATAAACAGAGCCTCCCTGATGATGTGGGTTGCATATGCGGTGTGATAAATATTCCTTTGTGGCTTTCAGGTACTGAGATTTTGAAGTAGTTAGTACAGCATAATCTATCCTATTCTGACTGGTGTACAATCCCTAGAACCAGAAAAGTCAAGTAATGGAAATAGAATTGAGAAATCTACAGAGAAACATCATGTTACTTAGTGCTCTGCTTCTGATTGGGGAGGTTTCTAAAAGCTTGGGCACCAGTCTGTGGCCACTATACTGTTTTGAGCTCACAGAGCATGCTCTAGTTCCATCTGCTGGCTCAAAATATTTATGAGAACATCTAGATTTGTTTGATGTTTAGAAAAGACGTCTCACCTACATATGTCCTTTGCTCAGGATTGCAGTTTTGTCAAATTCTAGCCAAAAACTCTGAAATTAAAGCTATTCCTTGTTTATATTGGATAGGCAAATTTACTATGCTCTCATTCTTATTTTGGAAATTTCAGGTTTTACAGCAAAATATGCACAGTTTATACCTGACTCAATTTTCTCCATGGCTCAGTTTATTCCCAACAATAATTTTCAGTTCTCAAATTCATGCTGTCCAATCTCTCACTTCAGATATTCCTCAGACAAGAAACTGGGATATCTGAAGCACTTTTGGCCAAATGCTGTTCAACACACCATTCTGAGTTCTATGTGATACCTACATGATTCATGCAGTGAAATTCTGGACCAAATCTGCCCTATCATATCGTCTCCAGACAATGATTTTATTTTCAGACTTGATGTTTCCACTTTAGGGCAACTCTGAGATGAACACAAACTCTTCGTATCAAACATAGGGAAAATTAAGAAATATTCATTTACCAGAACTAAGGGTATACCTTCTTTTTCACATAGAATAATCTCTATATTTCCTGGAGACTTCAGGTAGATTTATAAATAATCAAATGCCATTGTCCAATGAGTGACTTTGGTCTTAGGAAATTACAGATTATGAACTAAATTAAAAGATGTATATTTAGATTGTTGCTTTATGAAAAAAGCTCTATGTATAATTATCTTTTAATTGAAGCCACTTAGAACTGTGAAAGCCTTTAACATACCTTGCAGATGGGCTGTAGGAGTTGATGCTGAAAATAATATATAAATATGTGATGTTTAAAATGTATCATTTGCACAGAGCAACTATGATAAACCTTTTTTTAATATTCACACAATAGCGGCAACTGTGGCTGGCAGTAGGAGGCTTGAAATGAAAAGAATAAGGTTATTTCAGAAACACACCTACTCTTTAAACCATGACCCTCTCCACATCTCTCTATAAAAAGAACAAGGAGGCTTAATCCAGAACTCTGAAGAGCAACTATTTTTAGACTCATTTTTCCCCCTTTCACTGTTGATCTTCTCAATAGTAGTAAATATGAATGACACAGAAACTTTTAAGACTTGTCCTTTGGAGCAATAATGCTCACAGTGTTGCAATGTGAGCAAGCATAATCACTGATAATTATAATTTTAAAAGGAAATATGAAAATTACAAAAAACCTTTCTGAATTATTTCCATGATTAAATTACAATAATCAAAACATGCTACCCAAAGGAAATGGAGTCCTTAAGGTAACCTTGGGTTTTATTCAACCTCCACTTGAGTAAAACTACCTACAAAATCTTCTATAGGTATTGGTAAATGGCTTTAGAAACGGTTACACATTATATTCCATAAAAACAACTACTACTCAAATAATTTTCAATACCTCAAGAGTCCGGTAAGTTGTTTCATGTCTTTTGTTTCTTCATATGAAAAAGATTGAATTTCTCCTTAACGCAAACATGGTTGATAATGATTTTTAAATATTCTGGACAGATTAAACATACGAACACATTTAAATATTGTCAAAATGCTTATTTTGACAATTTCTAATGAAAGCACCATATAAAACCTGAGTGAAGCATATAGTATTAGTTAAGCACATGAACTAAGGATCAGACTGCCTGGGCTCAAATCTCCATAGTCACTACTTAGGAGCTATGCAATCCTGGAGAATGCAGTTAACCTTACTAAGTCTCCACTCCTTCATCTGTAAATGTGAATCATTATGGCACCTCCAAGGATTGTTTTAAAGCTCAAGTGAGGTACCCCTTATAAAACATGTAGTCTCATGCTTGCGATATAATCAGAATGATAAATGATTGTTGTTATTATTTTCTAAAGGTAGCAAGTATATAACTGTAGATGTCTAAAATTTCTGAATTCATTTGCCTACTTATATTAATTGGATATAGTTTACAAAGCAATTCTGTCAGGAAGTGTAAAAGTTCTCCAATTATTACATATTTCTTTGTTTTGAATAATTATGGACTACTGCTTTTACCTTGCCAACATTTGTGGATTATAGTTGAAAGTAAAATAAAATCCTCCTGTAGTTTTAGTTCAATTCAGCAAGCCCTTTGAACAGGTACTTTTGTGTGTCACATAGCGTTTTAGAGATTATAGTGGAAACAAAGATGAAGAAGAAACTACAGGCTCTTTAGGAGTTTATGGTCTAGTGGAATGGATAAGATAACAACACAAACACTATAGTAATATAAGATACAGCAAGATTACTTCTATGAGCCTGAAAATAGAGATCATATCATGATTGCAGTTATCCAAAAAGAATTCGTGAAGGAGAAAAGAGAGAGAACAATTTAATGAGAGGATTTTGGGAGAGCATTTAAAGTGACAGAATAGCATGAGTCAGGGAGCAAAGACAGAATCCATGATTATTGCAGGGAGAAGTGGTGAGAAATTTAGACAGATTGTTACTAGGGTACTTGTAGTAGTCGTAATAGAACAGTGGGGTGAACCAAGCTGACCATTATAGATCATAATGACTTCTGCATAAACTATAGGAAGTATATATTTTCAAATATTGACTTATAGCTTCTCTCAAAAGAAAGACCTAGGAATCCTTAGGTATTGGAAATTAACGCAGGGGGATATCAAAGCCAGAACTGTAGGAAAAAGCTATTGGAGTGTTAGATCATACATAAGCCTTGGCTGCTGGAAGCTGAGGTCCTAAAGCCTTTGTGAGGATGCTAACGACACCTCTCACACAAGCAGCGATGCCCTTCCAAGCCTCCAGCAATGACCCAGCACTGTATTGCTGCTCTAGCCTCATGAAGTAGAAAAACCCTATGCATTCTCAGGCCTGCAATGTGTCTAAGAAATTTGTAATTCATACAGAGTTTCTTGGAGAAGAGGAAATAAATTGCCTTTCAGAAATGGAAACTCCTAGTCTGAACCAAGAACAGATGGAATTAACATCAAAAGTTGCATAAATTGATTCAGGACCAGTGAACTGCCTGAAGGCTCCACACCCAGAGAAATGCACTCAAAAGCATCTCTAACAACTGTTTCACAAACCAGGCACTTGGGGCTCCCAAAAGATAAATATATCCCATTGAATATAAGTTTACAATAATTATAAATATCATGAAGCAAAACATTATGAAGAAGAATCAGCAAATGCAGGAATCAGGAGACTCAGCAAAACAAGAAATTTAAAAGAATAGGAAATATTTTTAAAACTATAATATATTGTTTAAAATCGTTAAGACATGAAAGAACAGAAATAATTAAAATCATTAAGATGTGAAAGAACAGTTAAATAATTAAAGAATATGAAAAACTTTAAACAGAACTTCTATAAGTAAAATATTGTCATTGAAATTAATGAATAGAATAAATAGCCAATTAGATTCAGTTGAAGAAAGATTCAACCTTCTGGAAGTTAAGTACTGAAGACCTATACCAGGATCCATCTCGTGTCTATAGGAAAAGGATGGAGATGAGAAACACTATATAGCTAGCATTTCGAGAAATTGGATCTTGAATTTGGGAGAAGAGGAAACAGTCACTGAATGTCCACTTTTAACCTCTATTTTTATATTAACCCATCATAATAACAACGTGATTATTTTCTCCTTTTTACAGATAAATGAAATAATCCTAGGAGAGAGTTAAATAATTTTTTCCAATGGTTCTTTGTAATAAGTAGTAGAACCACAATTTAAATCTAGGTTTTATTATTACAACTGCTACTTAGACATGACATACTAACAAGATTTCCAGAAAGCATACTTTGTAGGTAACTGGAAATTTTAATTTAAAACTTAAAAAGTTGTTGGGCTCAAACCAAATTTTGTACCTCTGATATTGATTTTGAAGAGAACCAGGGAGAAAACAGTAGTTGAAAGGAAGTAGCAATAAGAGAAGTTGATATTTAAATAAGATATATGATATCAGGCAATTTTTTTTTGAGAGAGAAATATTGAAGAAGGGATTGGATGGGATTCAAAACCTTAGAAATAACCATAGAATTAAACCATAGAGATGACAACAAAGGAGGAGAAGTAGAATGCAAATAAAGGACAGTTTGAAACAAGGAAGAGGTAAGATGAGCAAACCCATTTATTCTCAACTTCATAATCCAGAAAGAAAAAAGGGAAAACAATCTAGCAGATAAACCTGGACATGTCATTCTAGGAAATAGGTAGTGAAAGGGTAGACATAAGGCAAAAAAAAGAGAACTCTTCACAGTATGCATGTGTTGTGGATAGAAGATCAAGAACTGGGAAATTGTCTTTCAACTAAATACGTTCTGGACAGAAACGTATGTTATTCAAACATTCTTTATACCCTGTATAAAGACAACGAATAGTCTCACCAGTGTGTAAAAATATTACAAGGTAGTTGTCCCGAGTGCTTTTCACCTACAATGCCAGGAAGGATGCTAATCAGTGCCAATTGTTAGAGCTGGTGTTGTCATCTGGGCACCTGTTTGCTAAGAGCTGGACTGACAACAACTCATTCTACATAAGCCTTCTAAGCAGCTGTCAGATGGCAATGACGTTAATTTACTACTGACTTGGGCCAGATTTGATGCTGACCCAGACGTGACAGACTGGCTTTCCTATTAGTTGAGCCATCCAGTGCCTTCTGTAACTATTTTTATTGCAAACAGAAAGCATGTCTAAATGTTTTATTTCTCAAGATTCAATTCTATGTTGTGATGTTTTTGTTTGAGGATATCTGTACAAGTTAAATCCCTCACAGGCACAGGTATGGGTTGCCAAAATAATAGAGAAAGGGCTGATTTGAGGCAGTCAGACATTAATTATTTACCGTGGCAACCATTGCTACATTCCATTCCTAATGGAGAACAATTTAGTCTTCTGCAGCTTTGAGTATCACAGCTGTGATTTGCATTGCCAGCACAAAACTGAGGACTGAATTTCATGACTTTTTTTAGGTTAGACTCTATTACCTTCATTTCTCTTCAAAACTTTCCTCACCCTTCATGCATATCCTGAGACACCCCTGTGCCTAATGTTATTGAGGAAGAGCAAAAGGACAAGTGCAGCTAGAGCACCAGACGTTTTTCAGCTCAGAAGCAGCACTACCTCTTTAAGTCAGGTAGTGTGTTTGTCTCATGCTATTTGTTACCAGTGTTTCCTATGGACTATGTTCATGAGTAAGTTACATCTTTCAAGTGTGCCTAACTTAATCCTATGACCTAACAACCTAAGCATAGATGGAAGTTGATTCAATAACCCATTCATTCCTTTAACTCATTCATTCAGTATGTTGAATAAGGTTCTAGATAATGGGAATAAAATAATAAACAAAACCTCCTCCTTCAGAAGGCTTATATTAATATTTTAATGGCACAGGCAGAAAAATGAAAAAAACAAGAAATAGAAGGCACAATGGCAGGTAAGGTTGAGCCTGATAAAGTCTGGGAGATGACTGAGAATGACACGGACTCCATTTTAGGTAGGAAGTCAGGTAAGACCTTTCTGAGAAGGCGACAAAAAGCATGTGAATGCTTGTGGAAAGACTATTCAAGGCCCCCGCCATCCCCTCGCTCCCACAAAAAAAAAAAAAGCAAGACAAAGGCCCTGAGATATGCATTTTCCTAATGTTATTGAGGAAGAGCAAAAAGACAAGTGCCACTAGAGCACAGCAAATGGCGGGGAACGGGGAAGAACTCCGCAGAAACTAGAGCATGTAGGGCACACAGACCTTGGGAAAGCAAGATGCTTTCGTGTATGCTCTAGCTTCTGCTAATTATCTTAGGCTTGTGTGGGTTGAATTGTGTTAAGAAAATTACTTTTAAAACATTTTTAATATATAGATCTATTTTTCAAATCTCAGAGGAAACATGGTAAGCTGAGTGTCCAATGAACTCAATTACATAAATAATAAGCTGCAAAGTTGAAACACAAACCTAGGCACACCTGGCTCTAAAGCCCATTCCATTATATTGCACCACAAAGGTGTACTTAGGGCATAACAACTGAATTCACTGCAACAAAATTTTGCTATGCTGTTTGCTAAGACTGTGAATAAGGCAGGGAGACTACCCTCAAGTTTCAGAAAGACTATTGGGACAGAAAAATAAGCAGATAATCACCATTCTCTGTGATAAAAGTCATGTCTGTATAAAAGATAACAAGAGAAGGCTTTGATTAACTCTGTTTAGTTATTTAGAAGAACAAGAACTAAATATGAGTGGTTTTTAAAGAAGAGACCATGGAAGAAAAGAGGGTAGAATATCTATTGTGAAAATCTGAAGTCATGAAACGCATGACCTGAACAGAAAATTGCAAATAATTACCAGTAGTTTAGAAGCAGCACTGGAGTTCAGCCTGGTGGTACAGCCTGGTACAAAGTAGAAACCAGCTGGCTTCTACTTTGAGGGTTCATGTCCTTCTTATTGGCCAGTGCCGTGTCTCTTTCATGAATAAATACGTAAATATCACTCCATTACCAGACAATTAGCACTGACACTACAGAGATAGGTAAAAGCCAGATTACTGATGCCGTGTCAGTCATTTGGGTTTTAGTCCATGGTTGATGGCAGCTACCAAAGAGAGATGAAAAGGAATGAAAGAATAGGGAGAAGTACCTAAATATGTTATGACTTTTAGCATAACACAATGGAAATAAAGTATGTCTCTAAAGATTTTATTTTACCAAAATTGTTTTAGACATCTTTACAGAA
Organism: Homo sapiens; assembly: GCF_000001405.40. Lineage (NCBI taxonomy): Eukaryota > Metazoa > Chordata > Mammalia > Primates > Hominidae > Homo > Homo sapiens. The sequence continues at coordinate 68,992,704 of NC_000006.12, forward strand.
AAAGAAAAGTAAAATATATGAGATTTCAACACTTTCTGAAATATAATACTTAGAAAATTTATACTTTTTTGATTAGATCAGATTGATTGCCATACTTTAAAAGATTTGTTGGCACAGTTCTTGATGGGAAATTGGTAATTGCAATTAATGTACTTTAACCTTCCTATTTCACTATTTCTCTGGCCTGTTAATTATTGATTATTTCATTTTTTTTTAGTTAATTTTATACAAATTTAGCAAAGAAAAGGTACAGATTAAACTTTTAGTAAACAAGTAAAAGTATAATGGATTCCTGCTATTTCTTTACCTTCTCTTACCTTACTATTCTTTCGCATTATAAGATGTTTTTCCTCCCTTGAACTGTACAACAAGCAAATATAAGAATTGGCAGCACATTTCTCTGACCATCAAACTAATTTAAGCTTTGCATTTTAATAGTTCATTCTGTTGCTGAAGACCCAGCAGAGAGTTTTCAATTGTTTTTGCTGTTTTTTTTTAAAAAAAAAGCTAAAGCAATCTGGTTTTCAATCATGTCATAGTAAATCTCCAAAGTTTAAAGATATTTTAAGTAAATTTGTGCTGCTAATAACTTTCTTTGCTGCTCTATAGAGATGTGTTCATTTTAAGAGGTAAGGCAAAAGTTAATAAGCTCAGCTTGTTGGTAAAAATGGCTATTTTTGAAGTGTTTATAATCTCCCATCTCTGATCACACCTTACTAAACAGTCCCCCATGTTTACCACATGCTAAAGTATTTTTGATTTTTACTCCAATTAAGAACCTAAATTAATACACATTTTCCCAAATGTGTTGAATTGTGTGTTCTAACTAGAAATGGCAAGTTTGTCAAGCCTGCCGAAAAGTATACACTCATTAATTCTTGCATGCTGGATGTTTATCCATCTGAGTATGGGATACACACAATTTACAGTTTTCAAATCCTCCCAAGCATTGCAAGGCTATTTTAAGTTAATTGAGCAATTTTAAATAAAGTTGTTTGATGAAGTTATTCAGATAAATGGTAATGAAGATTCTGATGTTTGCTCTGTTCTTTTGACCATCACAGATTAAAGAGCACCTTGCTAAGGGGCAGCGAATGCTGGCAGGTGATGGAATGTCCCAGGTGACCAAGACACTGTTGGATTTAACTCAGAGAAAAAATTTCTATGCAGGCGATCTTCTGATGTCTGTGGAGATCCTGAGAAATGTGACAGACACATTTAAAAGGGCAAGTTACATCCCTGCATCTGATGGTGTCCAGGTAAGGGAGACAAGTTCGTGAAGGAAAGGGCTAGTGAAGATGCAATCAGTTTTTGGTCCCACGAAGCCAGTGCAGCCGTCTTGGAGGCGGACTGGAGGAAGATAATGCTCATCCAAGTTATGCTTAGTGTGAGCTCTGGAAATGACCTCAGTTCCCTTAGTCATTCTCCACCTCAATGTCCTCGCCCATAAAATGCATATATTACACCTCAAGGAGATACTGAATGAGAACCTGTATGAAGTGCTTTGAGCCCCCAGATAAAAGGCACTATAGCAAATTCAAGGTGGTATCATGGATATTTTATTCCCACATTTAATATACCATCTTGACATAGGAGACTATTAAAAATGCATTAAGCATAATGAAAACACATTAACTGTAACATGCAAAAAAACATAGTTTAAAGTTTGTTTAGGATTTTGCTATTAGTGGGGGAAAAACATATTTAATTTTATCAAACTATTCCCTGAAAATATAAGGCAAATAGAAAATTGTTCTAGCTAAGAAAATACGAAATTCAATAACTTCTCACAGCATATTTTTCTTGTTTTGGAAGACTTTTAGAACAACATCATTTATTTCCATAATAAAGTTTAAGTACTCACCCAATGTCAGTATTGCCTTTGCCATTAAAACAAAGCTTATTGAATGGCAAACAAAGCATATTTAATGCAACTACAGTTTGCGTTTCAGATTAACTCTTTTTATGCTGTAGATTCAAAGGTACTTCTACAAAGACTGCTGAGTTCATTTCTGCATTTTCAGCATAATGTTCTTACTGCATCTCTGCATAAAGTTCATTAAAATAAAGATTTGGCAAAACTCCCAGATTAGGTTTTGTGTTCCTTCAGCCTACTCTAAATTTGTAAGTTTATTGGTATTTCCCTTGGAAAATACAGGATTTGTTTTGTTTTGTTTTGTTTTGTTTTGTTTTGTTTTAATTAGCTATTGAAGGAAAGAGGAAAACAAGACTTTTTAGAATCATGGAGTCTTTCATAAATAATACTGACACCCTAATTTGTATAGAGGTACATATATTGCTAAAATCATATGCATATACTGCTGAAAGAAACTGCTACGAGAATTATTGGTGCTGAATTCTATATTAAATCACCACTGTCCGTATTTAAAATTATAATTGTAAAAGTACATTGCCTGGAGTGGATGGAAGATTATTATCTTTTGAACATTTCAAAGATGCTTTTCTCTTACAAAGATGAAACACTTTTTTTCCTAAGTTTTAAATGTTAATAAAGTAACCAAGTACTTTTCCCTGCAGTTCTGAAATGCTTCTATTAATATTTACATTAAAAATAGCATTTAAAGTCTTTGACACAAAATATAAGTTGTGATTTCAAAAAAATTCTCATAAACTCTGTTCACAGTTGAAACATTAGGTAAAGTACTCCATGAAATAATCTCTAACTCTCAAAAGTGTAGGGCTTCAAAATTCTTATGTGTGCAAGTTCAAGAAATTAATGTGACCAGTTTATATTTAGAACATATTTTGACTGAGCTACTTATTTGTGTGCATAAATTCAATGAAAAATTCCATTAACCAGTTGCTTAGTCATTGACATTAGCTGGTTTGACTTAAATAGAGCAATTTGGCTAATTATCTTGTTTCATTTTAGTCTAGTCAGAAATAGGTTTCTCTCTTTCCATCCTACTTCATCAAAGGAAGTATACACAAAGTCCTAAGCACGTTGGTGTCCTCGTCATTGCCTCACAAATGGCAGCTGCATTTTCCTATGTCATTAACTTTACTGTTGTCTTTTGGGGCATCTGGAATGCCCTCCTTATCTGAAATTCCTTCCTCTCCCATCTCTGCCTGTCATAATTCTAGCTCAACTCTGGTAAGTCTTTCTGAACTCCAGATGACCAACCCCCACCTTTATCTGAAAATGATTTTTCTCTTATCTGAAATTTCAAAGAATTTTTATCTCTTGTATTCTACTTCCCACAATTTTATACAAAGAATTTGCAAATATTTACTGTCTTCTTTACTTGATTATAAACTCTGGTTTATAATCTTCATCAATATTCTTTGAACTTCACGTTACTTTAGTTTTTGCCATGTCCAAGGGCTCTGGGCATTTCTAATTGGCTAGCAACTCAGGATTAATGTGGCATAAACTAATCTTAATTCCAAGTTTTCTTGCATTTCTCCACTTTTTAAAAATAGAATTAGTAGTCCCTAGCTAGAATTGAAATGCCATCTTGACTTTTTCCTTTTCTCTTTTCTCTTGGGTCTGCCTACTTAATGCCTCTTTCATCCATTCTTTCCTCTCTCTTTCCACTACTGTCATCCAGGTCAGCCTCTAATTACCTCAGCCTACATGATTTCTGTGGCCTCTTCCTTTTGATCCTCCCTCGCCTGTTTACCTACATCCCTAGCAATGTTATATACTGTGGTACTATAATTTATCATAGAACAGCTCTGATTATGTCACTGTCTACTCAAAAACCTTTGGTAGAGCTTCAAGTCTTCCCGAATGACAACTTGAAGTCATTATACTGCCTCCTAGTACACTCCACATATGTAGGTTACCTACCTTTCCAGCCTCATGTGTGGATTACTCTTTCTCCTCACAGACCAGCCACTTGAGGTAAATGAACCACTTCCTGATTCCTGAAAGCACTGTATGTTCTTGGCTCTGGGTCTTTGCTTCCTCTGTGTTTTCAGACCGGCTTCGTCTATCTCAATCTGCTGTTGAAGTTCTCAGGTCTTATGGGCCTGTGAACTCCAAGAGCATTTCCTCTTCTGCATCTCATCATATCTTGTAGTATCAGCACTAATTAGCAAATCTTCGGAAAAAAAGACATGTTTCTGATCCATCTTTGGACCCTAGCCAAGTGCCAGCCCACCTCCTGCAAATAAGATTTCACATAGAATCCTGTCTATAGAAGATGTTCAACAAATGTTTGTTGAATGTATTAACAACAAAAGTAGTGGTAATAATCACAGAGGTATCCATGAACTTTTTTCATCCTTTTTCCAGTAGAAAATGATGAGAAAAGATAAAAGAGAAATTAAGTAAAATTAAAGGGAATATATTCTTTTAAATGTAGTTATGTGCAAGGTATTTTATTAAAAATGGCTGGTAATGTTGTACTCAATTAAAAACTTGATTGGATATTTTGATGAAAGAGACATAGAATTGTCTACTATATACTAACTACTACAGACAGAATAGCTTATATTAGCAAGATCATAGGAAAAGTTTGGATATCTGGTTAGTAAATTATTGGAATGTACTCCAATAAACATACACAGGCACATACAAATATGTGCATATGCATATACTTTTTTCTATTGAAAATCAAATGAATTAAACCATGAAGACCTTGAAAACTTTTGAAGGCCTTTAATATGGCTGTGATGATATTGTGAATTAAACCAGGCGCAGTGGCTCATGTCTGTAATCACAGCACTTTGGGAGGTCAAGGCAGGCTGATCCCTTGAGGTCAGGAGTTTGAGACCAGCCTGGACAACATGGTGAAACCCTGTTGCTACTAAAAATACAAAAAAAAAAAAAAAAAAAAAGCAGTGCATGGTAGTGCATGCCTGTAATTCTAGCTACTCGGGAGCCTGAGGCGGTATCTCTTGAACCCGGGAATCGGAGGTCTCAGTGAGCTGAGATCACACCACTGCACTCCGGCCTGGGTGACAGAGTGACACTCTGTCTTAAATAAATAAATAAATAAATAAATAAATAAATAAAATTATGAATTAGGATCATAAGAATTGGCCTGATTCCTCCCAACACATGAGGTCCTTAAGTTAAAATGACTCCTGTTTTTAATTGTCATTATTATTTCTAAAAGGTAACTTATTTTTTGGCCTATGGAGGAAACTCATTCATGAAAAATTTAATTCAGCAGGGTTTCTAAATACCACTAAGACACTTTGTTCTTGTATTTGTATATAAAAACATTTATTTTTTATATTATCTACCTCTGTTCAGTAATAGTAATTCAGAATGTGAGAGATTTATGTAAGTATTTTAACTAACAAATCCATAGAATTGTATGAACCCTTAAAATTTCAAATTATATAAGTTATTATTGTTGTCATCTCCTAAATCAATTCACAACAAACCTATTTTTAAACGTTAGTACAATATTCTTCTTTCATTGCTTTAACATGTAGCTTGACAACTTCATAAATCAGAATATTGTATTCACCTTAAGAAATTAATAAAATTGTGAAGTTAATCTTTCCCCAGATTATTCACCTTACTGAGGGACAGCATTAAAATCACATGAGCCACTGCAGTTTAAGTTCTTGGAGTTAATGTCCTCTTTTACTAAGAGCAATAATTTGCTGCCATTGACAATGGAGAAAAGAAGAAGCAACATCTATAACCCCTACATTTTTCTTAAACCAAAAAAGTGTATAGCTTTTCCTTATTCCATCCTGATTATCCTGTGAAGATAATTAGAACTTATCAAAGTAAAAGAGTATCACTTCTATTTAGTTAAAAAAATATGCATGGCTGAATCCCAAAAGTATCACATTACTAAATCAACACCAAATTCCATTAAAATGGGCACAGTTACTTCAGTAAGGAACATGGGTTAACTACCAGCAAAGCTGTTTCCCTTCATTCATTACTCTGTCTGTGTGTAGCCACTTAACTCTTTGGCAACTGTTGCATACTATGATTAAGTCCATATCAAAGCCTATATATGATACCCATTGTTTATTTTTGATGCCAAAACTGAAATAGATCAGTAAAAAGAGAAAAAACAAAGGAAATAATTTATGACATTATCACCATTTTCAACTAGCCACTCACTAGATCTCTAAGAGGAGAAGTGAATGCAACATATGCAGCTGTACCCCGAAGAGGTGGTGCAGAGGCTTTGTCTGGTCAGCTGTCGGGTCATAAGATGAAGCTCCCTCTAAGATCCTATTCTTTCCTAAAAGTACCCATCTTTGGATACAACTATAAAACTGTATTTTATCCTGGCTTAGACAATATCACCTATAATATACACCTTTATTTGTGCCCTGTATGTAAGAAAAGCTGCTGTGTGTATACCTGTGACAATACTAAGCTGTCTTTCATTTTAAGTCCCAACCTTGATTTATGAGATGTTAAAATTGTAAAAACCTCATACAATAAAAATGTGCTTATATGTTTTGGAATGATAAGCCACAGTAATAATTTTATTTTGGAAAACTAGTAGAACATATTTCAAAAACTTTTCCCTTCAAGCATATTCTTTTCCAAACCTTTGGACTGTCATAACTCCAAGACTATTCATTAAAGCCATGTGGTATAGCTTTCCCTTTTCTTTTTTTTTTTTTTTTGAGATGGAGTCTCGCACTGTCGCCCAGGCTGGAGATCAGTGGCGAGATCTTCGCTCACTGCAAGCTCTGCCTCCCGGGTTCACGCCATTCTCCTGCCTCAGCCTCCCGAGTAGCTGGGGCTACAGACGCCCGCCACCACGCCCCGCTAATTTTTTGTATTTTTAGTAGAGATGGGGTTTCACCGTGTTAGCCAGGATGGTCTCCATCTCCTGACCTCGTGATCTGCCCGCCTCAACCTCCCAAAGTTCTGGGATTACAGGCGTGAGCCACTGCGCCCAGCCAGATTTCCCTTTTCTCATCTGACTTATGTTTCTTTAAGATCCAGCTTAAAGATATCTTTTGTTGTTGTTGTTCTCAAAAGTCTCACCAAATCCCAGGCAGATTAAATTTTTTTCTACTTCTGTGGGCTTTTGAAATCTTGTAAACATCCGTACTACAGAACTTTCACACACAACATCATAATTATTGTTGCTAGGTCTGCCTTCAGCAATATTTTTTAAGCTCTTTGAGAGATTATTTTGTCCCTAGGGCTTAGCTTGGTACTTGAAGCATGTAGACACTCAAATATTTGTTGATATAATTAATGAATAACTAAGGGTAATATAATAATGTTTGAGGAACTTACATTGTTTCACAAAATATTAGAAAACTGCTCTGAATATCTAATTCAGAGGAAAAAAAGAAAAAAAAATACTTGTTCATTTACTTTTTTTTCACCACTGAAATAATTCATTCTGAATCTTATTCTATCAGTAGAGGATTGAGTTGGCACTGCTTGCTCCAGAAACTTTAAGACTTAATAAAATTTAATCAGACATATTTAAAATCAAATTTCAGCCTGTCCAGCTATCTTAGTATCTTCAGGCATGTTACTTAATCTTTGTCTACCTTATTTCTTAGTTTCTGTAAAAAAAAGAAACAAAGAAGGGATAATAGTCAATTCATTGTTTGTGATAGGTATAGTCTATAACATTACAGCAGACACTGAATTAACAAATACTGAACCATTGCTCCAAAGGGAAATACAGGATTAGGTCCCTTTGAGAATCTGGTCACAACATTTTCATCAACCAATCAAAATGACTTTGTTTTATGTGCGTTTCAGTTAAAATACACCTTATTTAATGTATGTTGTTGATGCACTAACATTGAACTCATAGCCGACAGCACTTTATCTCATGCCTAAACAAGGTTTATCTAACATACTTATTTTCTATGTAAGGTATAGGATAACTTTGTTGTGCTTAAGATCACTAGATACTACTTCAGCACCATTCTGGGCTCATTTTAAGCAGTGAAATCAACAAAACAAAAAGCCCCAAAAGTATGAAACATGTGGCAATAAAAAGATCTGAAATGTATACTTGGTTATAATATAAGGGTTAAAACAAAAAGGCAGAACATCATCATGTTAGACCTCAGCTAGAAAAGTGCACATTGGCCAACTCAAAATTTTTACCACTTTGTGCATGTCCACAGTTGGCTATGATGGTGCTGTGCATTTTAGTTTCAATATTACAAATAAATTTTAACACATAGGTCGATTCAGAAATATAAAATCTGTGAATCATGAAGATTAACTGTTATCCATTTTTCAGGGATATGGTGAGGCTCAGAAATATATAACAGTCCATACATAATATTTGTTTATTACTTGGCACATAGTAAGTACCACATAATACCATTATTGCTAGTATTTTAATTACCAACATAGAAGAAAAACATGAGCCTTGGCCTCAAGCTGCTTATGATATCATTGAAGAAAAAAAAATAACTTGAATGAGGCTATACTGGAGTGATATAAGTATAGCATGTTCCACTTCTATGAATTTTCGAAAGAGGTCTGAACAACAGCAGTAAGTAAAGATGTCATGGTAGAATTAGAACTTAAGATAGAATCTGGAGAAGCAAGTTAGGTACAGAAATACTCAATAATTAAACTATGCAGTCAAAAGTACAGAAATAGTGTAAGAATGGCATGTCCATTAGAAAAACCTTCCTGTCTTTATGATCTGCATTTTCCACCATTCATCCTACTTTGGAAAATATTTTGGAAAATAGGGTGCATGGTGGAAAATGCAGATCATAAAGGCAGGAAAGTTGAGGCCACATAAAAGAGTTTGAACTTGATTCTCTATAAACAGATTTACTAAATATAAAGATTATTTTTAGAAAGATGGTCTGAAAAGGTAAATAACATGGATTGGTGAGTAGAGAAAGAGTGGGGAAGGAGGGGGAATAAGCCCATGGAGGTGCTATGGCAGTGACCTAGATATGAGAAAAGAAGAGAGCGTGTCTTAGTGACAGTGGGTCAGAAAAGAGGAAAGAAACATCTTCATGGAAGGAAAGAAAGGCCCTTGAAACAGTTTAGATTTGGGGGACAAAGAAAGAAAATATTGGAAAAAATACACACATAGAAATGTCCACAGGTCCTCACAGTGTACTGTGTTCCTGAAACTCATCTGAATGCAAGGACCAGTCTCTACCCAGGCATGTTCCTACTCATTGATCACACTTCTGTGGACCTAACAGAAGATCAGTGTTTTCCCAATGTTTTTGACTGTGACTTGCTGTAAAACACACAGTTACATTAACATGCAGTTGAAAACTAGAGTTTTCCAAAATAATATTTACCTCACTCTGTGTAATAATACACTCTGGTATTCTCCATTATTTTTTATTTCATTAAGAAAAATTAATCATGACCTTGAAACAGGTCATTACTCAACATTGGAAAGCTACTTGTTTATCTGATACATCCGCTAGGTTTAAGAAATTTGTTTCTCAATAGCTGAGATTAAATAGGAAGCTCTAACCTTAGTTTTCTGATTTCTTTTTTAAGTTCAGACTATATTCTAAACGAATGATCAGAGGTAGGTGATCAAGGAATTAAATTGAAAGCAGAAGTAGTAATTTCAACAAAACCAAGCATCTTTTATCTTTTTTTTTTTTTTTTTGATGGAGTTTTGCTCTGTCGCCAGGCTGGAGTACAGTGGCATGATCTCGGCTCACTGCAACCTCCGCCTCCCTGGTTCAAGCGATTCTCCTGCCTCAGCCTTTTGAATAGCTGGGACTACAGGTGCATACCACCACGCCTGGCTAATTTTTGTATTTTTAATAGACAAGGGATTTCGCCATGTTGGCCACGATGGTCTTGATCTCCTGACCTCATGATCCACCCACCTTGGCCTCCCAAAGTGCTGGGATTATAGGCATGAACCACTGCGCCCAGCCAAATCTTTTATCTTAAAACACTTGATGAGCAAGCAGATATGTTGCACCATGGATTACTCCCATGCTGATTATCAATAGATTAAGTCACTTGGTGAAGACCTTGGAGTATGGTTTCTCCATTGGTTTTAATGCCAGACACTATTGGCTTTTTTATATTAAAAATTGGGTTGATAAATTTGGAAGCAACTATTAATATGATAATATAATACCCTCATATAATGATAGGCCTCATCTGTAGAGGTAGTATAATTTTGTTGACTAAATAAGATCTGGGAAGGCTTTTCTGGGTTGGAATTACAGTACAACTCTAGCCTTCAAGACACAACCTGATACCTTGAGATCCTCTGCTCAAGAGGCATTGTGTAACCAGAAAGGCTAATAATTTTCTCAAACATCAGTAAGGGAGATAGGGAATGGAAGCAGGGGAGTAGGGTGTGATGAGTAAGAGTACTTGCTCTGACCTTCAAGATGTGGCTTTAACACTTGTTAGCTCTGTGATCCAAGACAAGTTATTCAACCACTCTATGCCTCAATTTTCTATTCAACAATATGGGATAATAGTACTTACCTTATAGGATTCATGTGAGGGTTAAACTTTCTATGTCAAGTACTTACTCAGTACCTGACACCTGGTAGGTCTCAAGAAATGTGGCTATTATTATCATCCAACAAGACAAAAATGGAACAAAAATTTACAGTCCTTAGAGCACAGGTAGCTACTGCCAATGCAGATATGTAATTGGTATCTCTCCTGCCAAGAAAGAAAGGTTGAATGTTTCTCATGGAACCACCTAAGGGAGTGTGGGCACTGCTTTTTTTATTTTTTATTTTTTTCACTTATTATGGAAGAAAAGGGCAGGGAATGTATCAGGGAAAATGGAAACAAAAAAAAGCAGCACTCATCTTTAAGGTCAGCACTGAAGGGCCATTTTGTAGTTAGAGAGCAAGGGGATAAGAAAAATTGCTTCAATCAATAGCCAGGATGCCTGGCTCAGTAGAAAATAAGCCAGGTACAGGACAGTAGCTCCCAGCCAACAATCACTCCAAGTCATCTAAATGGCTGCTGTTTTCAATGCTTAACAGCCTGAGAAGATTTCCTATTGTTTCTCTGTGGTATAGAAAGCCTAACATAACTAGCATCACTTCCTAGATAATATTTAAACCCCGCCCTTATTGTAAACATGACAATAAGAAATTTAATGGCAAATAACTTTCTTAAGTGGGTGAAATATGAAGCAATAGATCTTGCTTCACAACCCAACATGGTTAAATCCTACCGTGAACGAATCTGGAAGATAACTGGTAACTGAGGGGAACTAACAAGCTCCATAGAAGAGCCCGGAGTATGCAACACAACCACGTAGGAAGAGGAAGAGAGGTAAAGTAGTTTTAAGAATGTATGAAGTGCAATGTATCAGCTGGTAAATGCCATGTGCAGTAAATAAATTAGTTTGGTCGAGTTTTTAAAAAATACAATAAAACATGAGACTGCTAGTTTTACCTTTTCCGAAGCTCCTATTATTTTCTTCAGAGTCAAGAAAATATTGAGATTTGCATTAGTAAAAGTTACAGATGGTTTTATGTTGTGATTCCATTTATTATCAAATATTCTACTGTTTTAAAAAGTTTTTATTGAAGAATGTTTTGGTTTATTAGGGCTACCATAACAAATACCACAAACTGAGTGACTTAAACAACAAACATTTATTTTCTCACAGTTCTGGAGGCTAGATCTCCAAGATCGAGGTCACGACAGGTTTGGTTTCTCATGAGGCCTCTCTCTTTGGCTTGTAGATGGCTGCCTTCTCTCTCTGTCTTTTACACATGGTCTTTTTCTCTACACACTTGCATCCCTGGTGTCTCTCTGTGTGTTCTAATATCCTCTTCTTTTTTTTTTTTCTTTATCTTTTATTATACTTTAAGTTCTAGGGTACATGTGCACAACGTGCAGGTTTGTTACGTATGTATACATGTGCCATGTTGGTGTGCTGCACCCATTAACTAGTCATTTACATTAGGTGTTTCTCCTAATGCTATCCCTCCCCCCTCCCCCGACCCCATGACAGGCCCTGGTGTGTGATGTTCCCCACCCTGTGTCCAAGTGTTCTCATTGTTCAGTTCCCACCTATGAGTGAGAACATGCGGTGTTAAGGACACCAGTCAGATTAGATTAGGGCCCACCCTGATTCACTCTTTCTAACTTAATTTCCTTTTTAACAGCCCTATGTCCAAAGACAATCACATCTGAGCTACTGGGTACTAGGACTTTAACATAACGATTTTGGGGTTGGGGGGTGCTGAGATATAGTGAGCCTATAACAAGGAATCTTGAAGGACTATGAGAATTTTCTTTTATTGAAGGGGTCTGTGTCAGTCATCTTTCTTCAGGACTGGACCTGCTGTGACTACTGCCTGTAGTCTTGTAAGGGTCTAAACTTGTGATGTGTGCAGGCTTCTCTCACATGGTGGCCCTTAAGTGTATCAGCCAGGCCTACCAAACTTGAGGGATCACTCATTACCTTATTCCTCACTTAAGAAACATCTCCTTTCTGAACATGATGATGATTTTGTCACACTGAGTTATGATATTTTTATAACATTGGGTGTTCTCCCAGGCTGTCTCTGGGGAAAAAATCATATTTAATGGTGTTAGTATCATTAACTATTTTTACCTTTCATTTTTAAAAGGGGACTGTAGGCAATACTGAGCTCATGCCCCAAAGCACTAAAGATTGGATGACTTATTCTTTCCACTTAGCTTCATCCCATCTAGTATACCTCACAGCAGAATTACTCTGTTGCCTCTTGTTGGAGTCCTTGATCCTAAAGGTAACTCAGAGGTACTGAGAGCGTTGTATAAAAAATTCCCCATCTGAGCTATTCTGAGACTCCACAAGTTAAACTCTCTTACATCATGGCAAAGCAATGAGATTAGTATGAAAGACAATGATTCCTGGAACAATGTTCTTACGCAGTTTTCACAATGAGTCAGAGCTATAAGAAGTCTTTTTTAAAATGTGTTCTTAAAGACTTTTTTCACATGGTCTTTTGTGACCACGTGACTATTACAGGCGTACGCCACCATTCCCGGCCGACCTAGTGAGTATTAGGATATATTAGTTTCAATTATCTGTTCTCACATTCCTTTTGGTCTGGCAGGTTGCAGTGGGAAAGCAAGGACAGACCAGCCCTGCCATCAGAAGCCCTCTGAATACCACTGTCAGGTCAGGTCATCTGGCCTGCTGCAGACCCCACTATTGACCTTGATATCCTTGTCCTTCAGATGTCGCCCTATCTTTTGTCTTCCAGTTTTCCAGTGGCTCAGATTTTTGACTCTAGATCATATTCTTCTTATGCCTTGGTTTCTGAAACCTGCTAGATGGCATCCTGTATTATAATATTCTGCCTTTCTGAATCCTTGTTAGTTTTCAGTTGCCAGTGCTCAATTGATGTGCTGCTTGGATAAACATTCTGGATAAAAGGTCTCAACCATGGTATTGGGCCTCTTGGTCTTGCTTGATTAGGAGTTATTTTGCTTATTCACCTATTACCAAAAAAGTACCTAGAGCACTCTTTAGAGATTACTTACTATTTTTTTTTAAGAGCAAACTCAAGATGATTTCCATAATAATGTTGTTCTTACTTAATTTCATTTCAGTATACTTTCTTGACTAGAATAGGATACTATGAGGTAGAGTTGAAGCCATACACAGGGAATCTGTGATCCCTACTTTAATCTATAATATGGATGTATTCATGGTTTTATGTATCATGCATGCAAATGTTATCAGCCAAGTGCATCAGGGGAAAAAAAAACGAGATCTACTATTAGGTTGATGCAAAAGTAATTGCAGTTTTTAATGGAAAAAAAACCCGCATTTACTTTTGCACCAACCTATACACTGTATTTTGAACACTCTTTGGATTTTTACCTAGTTAAAAGAATGGTCTGTCTCCTCTGGATTAATCTCAGCAGTGGAGAGTCTTTTTTTTTTTCTTTTTTTTTTAAGATGGAGTCTCGCTCTGTCACCCAGGCTGGAGTGCAGTGGCATGATCTTGGCTCACTGTAACCTATGCTTCCTGAGTTCACGCAATTCTCCTGCCTTAGCCTCCTAAGTAGCTGGGATTATAGGTGTGCACCACCATGCCTAGCTAATTTTTTTTTATTTTTAGTAGAGACCGAGTTTCACCATGTTGGCCAGGCTGGTCTTGAACTCCTGACCTCAGGAGATCCACCCACCTAGGCTTTCCAAAGTGCTGGGATGTAAAATTTATATTATTCTGTTACCTGTCTTTCCTGCTTTCTTTCTTACTTCGTCATCTTTTTTTTATTTATTTCTCTTCTTATGAATTTACCTTCAATGTTTTAACCATGACTTCATCCCACTCAGCTCTAGTCATGATAATCTTAAATTTTTTTTTGACTGAAAAGCCTCCAGTTTAATTATTCACAAATTTTTACCTCTTGAGCTATAGGCTTGTAGTTAAACCTGCCCACTGGGTCTCTTTTCTTAGCTATGTTGTTGATCCCTCGTACTCAATTTGAACAAAACAAAGTTCACTTTCTTTTCTCAACACTGCTGCTTCTTATGTGGTAGCATGGCTAACTCATCATTCTCAGCTACCTGGGCTAAGAACGAAAGGCTGACTTTTGATTCTGTGCTTCTCCTCCCATGCAATCTGTCGTCATGTCATTTCTCTAAACCAAGCTGCCATCATCTTTGGCCTCAATAATTAAGACAAACTGAATTCTAACCTTCCTGTTTTTACTCTTACTCTCCTATACTTTATTTTCCACTCAGTGGCCAAAACTAGACTTTGATTTTTAATACAACTCATGTAATAGAACCACTGTGGGATCAAAGCCTCACTTTACCTGACCCCTGTGTATCATTTTCACCCTCTATTAATATTTTCATCCCTTCACCTCACCCAGCCCCCTCTTCAACTCTAGTTACGTTATCTTTCTTTCTGTTTCTCAAACTTGTTCAGACTGTCATTTACCCAGGGAATTTGAACATTCTCTTCCCTTTTCTTCTGGAACTCTCTTCCTCAGGTCTTTGTGTGGCTGTCTCTTTATTATTCTGGTCTCAGTTCAAATGTGACCTTCTTAGAAAGTTCTTTCCTGATGACTATCTAATCTAAAGTAATCTCTCTCTCTCTCTCTCTCTCTCTCTCACACACACACACACACACACACACACACACACACCCTGCTGACCTATTCAGTCTATTCCTATAACCTATTTTGTTTTCGTGTCACTGTCTCAGTCCATTTGTGATGCTATAACAAAATACCTGAGACTGGTTAATTGGTAACGAATAAAAATATATTTCCCACAGTTCTGGAGGCTGGAAAGTCCAACATCAAGGCACTGGTGGCAGGTTCAGTTGTCTAGTGATAGCTGCTCTCTGCTTTCAAGCTGGTCCCTTGTTGCTGCATCCTCTAAGAGGTGAGGAACCCTGCGTCCTAACATAGTGGAAAACAGAAGGGTGTGTTAGCCAAACACCGCAGGAAGCTTCTTTTATAAGGGCAGTAATTCCATTTGCAAGAGAGGAGCCCTCAATGGCATAATTACATTTTAAAGGCCCCAACTCTTAATAACATTACATTGTCAACAGCTGAATTTTGGAGGCATCATATTCAAACTGCTGCAATCACTGTCTGAAATCATCCTTTTAAATGTATTTGCTTACTTTTTCTTCTCTTTACCCACTAGAGCATAAATTCAACGAGGGAAGTAACCCTCATATGTCTTGTTCACTATCATATTCACAGCACTTAGAACAGAACAGCCAAATATAGAGAAGGCATTCAATGACTACTACTTGAATAAAGAAATACATTTCTGCTTAAGTATTTAGTATACCTTTCCTCGTTTTTTCATTTGCACATCCACTGTTCTCCTTTAGGCCTTAATAATCACTATTTTGGACTATTGATAATGATTTCTAGTGATGCC
Organism: Homo sapiens; assembly: GCF_000001405.40. NCBI lineage: Eukaryota > Metazoa > Chordata > Mammalia > Primates > Hominidae > Homo > Homo sapiens. The sequence goes on from NC_000006.12 coordinate 69,008,480, forward strand.
CTTTCTTCATTCTTTTTTCTTGCCAAAGCTCCCTGACTTTACTGTCTGGCTGATATTTTTATAACTTTCTTTATACCATTCCTTTGCTGAACAAAGCAGCACTTGTACTACCAAATGCATCTTGCCAGGAGCAGGGTAAGGGTAGTGATGCATAGGGAGAGTTCCTTGTGTTTGGCATAGGATGAACTGGGTTTTTGAAGTTCGTGGGTTTATGGAAGAAGAGGCCCATTCCTTGCTTGTTGCTGCATGTGAGTTTAAGGACCAGGGTTGAATATCCACAGCTGCTTCCTGTAGTCCTACAACTTCTCAAAAGTATGTATTTGTGCTCAAGGATGATGTTGAGTCTTCAAATGCTGTTGAAAATAAGAAGAGTTCGATCCCATATTTACTCAAGATAACTAGTTTTCTTATCTGTAAAAATAAGTGTCATCTCTTATTCCCTGGACATAAGGAGAGCCCTGGTAACATTAAAATCATCACTGGAAGAGGAGGGTGTTGAATCAAAAAAGAGGCAGGAAATTAGGTATAAACTATTTATTGTTTTCTATTAAAAAAAATCCATGAATGCTTAGCCCATTTCCTTACACACAGTGGGCATGTAATTCATCAGTTTTAAATAGTTGAGTATTTACATGCTGCTGTGCCTGATGTTGTACACTGGGGGCACAAGAGTGAACAAAATAGAAATAACTTGATTATAAACTAGTAGAGGAAAAAACCCTAAACCAATCATCATACAAATAAACCATAACCTTAAAATCCTATATACTTCCAAAAAAGGTCACACAGTACCACGAGAAAAAGAAAATATCAGACTGTATAACTGGGGAGGGGGGAGTGATGATCTCATAAGGCCTTTTGAGGAAATTGCATGTAAATCTGGACATAAAGGATAATAAAAGGTTGTCTGAGTATAGAACAGAAAGAATAGCAGTCCAAGAAAGCAAACAGCATGTAAACAGTTCTACAGGCAGGGCAGAAAAGAGTGTGGGATGCATGAAGAAGTCTAATGAACTTGGAGTACAAATAGAGTATGGGGCAGGATAGCATAAGATAAAGTTGGAGAGACAGGAAGTGGCTGGATCACATATGGCCTTGCAGCCATCAACTAGTTGATCTCTAGGTTGGGGATCAATGATCTATCCTATGTTATGCATCCTTATCCTAATGGCTTATCCCTGCTTCCTTGTTTGTTAAGCCTTTCTGTAGTTCACCCTATATTTCTAGTCAGAGTCACTGTAATTCTTTTAAACCTTCAGATCTACCTTACTAAATCTGACTCTTAGGGCTTGTCTTTGTCCCTTGATGTCCAACCACTTTGCTACTGGTTAAGATGGAGGAGAGCACATTTCCTGTGGCTGAAATTGCTAGCCTAATCTACAACTCTATTTCCATGGAAATAGGAATTCAGCAAAAGCAAAATGCTAAGACATATTTTAGTATATTTATAAAAAATTGTATATAATCCATGAGAAATCTGCCAAGTGGATGCCAGTCAAAAGTAAAAACAGAATTTTTTATTGCTTTCCATAAAATAAAGTGTCCTTTTTGTCTCGTATAGCCAAATCTAGGGCCTCTACTTTGAATGCCACAGAAGGATTTATGCTTATTTTTATAGCATACATTTATTGCCCTGATTTTTGTAATACTTCCGGCAAAGAAAGAATGATCATGCCTCTTTGACCTTTGTGTACCACAACCATTCACCATAATGCCTCTCACATAGTAGGTATCTAATACTAACTTCCCTGAAACCCTCTCCCACCAGAGCACATTCTTAGAAAGAAGAGACTTCTGCTGAACAAATTATGTTCCCCAGAGTTAGTAGTGAATCAGTTCTGTTCTGTACATATTGTTGAGAGAGGAAGAGACATTAAAGAGGATAGAGGAGAATGCTACTGGTTGTGAAAGGCTGTATCAGAATTATAGGTGCGTATTTGCCATAATGCGGCAATGAATACAAATCATGCAGCCAGTCATAAAAAAATATATAACATAAAGGGAATAAAATCATAAAGTTGCCATATATCAAGCACTTGCCATGCATCAGATACTGTGTTAAGAATTAACTCCAAGCTTCACGATAGCTCTGCTAGGTAGCTATTATTACTCTTGTATTACAGATTCAAGATATAAAGCATAGGTGGGCAACATCTGCCCATAACCATACAGTTAATAATTGATGGGGAAAATGTTAAACTGGGTCTGCCTCGTTCAAACTCCAAACAGTTCAGATTCTGCCAAGGACACTCAATTTTTCAAATCAGTCTAGGTCATGGAGATCAAGGCTGACTAAAAAAAAAAAAAAAAATCAAAAAACAAAAAAAAGCAAAAAAATGAGACAAAAACTTACTGTAAGGTGTTGACCTTTTTATTTTAGGGATTGACATAAGTGACCTAATCCATAAATCATCAAAAGAGAACTATTATCACCATTAATGGAGTTTTAAAAGAACACTGGCAAGTAGTGGCTCTGCTACCACAGAAGCAGCTTCATACTTTGAAAAATTCAATCATGCGGCCTGAAATGTCATGAGTCTCCTCTTCAAAGTGCTGTTCTGTTAGGTTTGGTTCTATTTATCAGTCTGATAGTTTAGTAAATGTCAAAGTGAATATATATTCAGTATGTATTAGTATGTGTATATATACATATATATGTGTGTGTGTGTGTGTGTGTGTGTGTGTGTGTATATATATATTCTATATGTGTGAGACAAGTTAGAGCAAGGCCAGCTGAAAGAAATGGTGCTAAATCTTTTTAGGAAAGCTGAGGCGCAAAATGTGGCACATGTACGCTATGGAATATTATGCAGCCATTAAAAAGAATGAAATCATGCCCTGTGCTGCAACATGGATGCAGCTGGAGGCCATTATCCTAAGCAAATTAATGCAGGAACAGAAAACCAAATACTGCATGTTCTCACTTATAAGTGGGAGCTAAATATTGGGTACTCATGCACATAAAAATGGCAAAAATAGACACTGGGGACTAATAGAGTGGGGAGGGAGGGAAGGAGAGGGGAAGGAGCTACAAACCTAACTACTGGCTACTGTGCTTAGTACCTAGGTGATGGAATCATTCATACTCCAAACCTCAGCATCACACAATAAACCCAGGTAACACACCTGCACATGTATCCCCTGAATCTAAAATTAAAGTTGGAAAAATAAAGAAAAAAGAAAGAGAAGCTGAGATATACTGACTTTGCAACTTAAATTTTGTTTTAAATTTAGGACTTTATTAAATATCTGCTATGAGCAAGTCATTATATACACTGAGGATACACTGATGAACAAGAAAGACTTAGTCTCACCATAAATGCTGCCCCACTGCTTGAGACATTCAGACTTAGCTCACTGTGCCCCTACATGGATTTCATTAGTCAGGGCGCTACTACTGATTATTCCAAAGTCTAATCAATAGTGAGAACAAATAACTTTATTCTGTACTGCCTTCCCACTCCGATTTAGTAAAGCCACATTTGTTGGCCTTGAAGAAGAGTACAGAATGCTTGAAGAATAGTACAAAATGCTATGTTTGGTTGGCCCAACATGTATTTTAATAATTTGTGTTTTTTATGTGTGCCCTTTGGTGATTTAAAAAAAGAACTGAACTCTGAATTTATTGTCTTCATCAAGGAATTTTGTGTATGCAGTGGCCTTCATGTACAGCAAGGAGTCACCGACCCACTGTCAGCAAAACATGCTTTGTGAAATGTTTTTTTTTGTTTTTGTTTTGTTTTGTTTTGTTTTCAGAAATGGAGATGCAGTTGCACAAATTGCTTCCTGTTCTCTTGGTGTCTCTTGTTAGCAGCAGCATGCATTTTGTATGAAAGCTGGCAGGGGTTAGAATGCAGACCGAGGTCATGGACCTCAGCACAGCTAACTGGCATGTACAGGGATAAAACCTGCAACTTTTGCCTCATTAGCACCATGTCCCCTACTGAGTTAACCAGTCACAGGCAATTGGAGAACTCTGAAGGTTAATTCTTTCTGACCATAGGTAGAGTTAGAGCTCAATGGACTAAGCCCTTCAAATGTTAACACTTCAAGCAGGAAATTTTAAGTGGAAAAAAATGGCTGGTAGTACAAAAAGGCTGAAAGAATTGAAAAACGGGTCTAAAACAGACTTGCAGGTTTTTTAAGAGTTGCATAAAATATTCTGTAACTTTTATAGAGGTTATGACTCAAACCGTGTTTCAACCATGTGATTGCCAGGTACTATTAAAACAAATAGCACAAATAGGGCAATTAAATATAGATACTAACAGCTTCAAACCACAAGAGAAGAGGAAATTAAGCAGCTTTGTTTTTCATTTAATAGCACCCAGGTGAGCTTCTTTGAAATTAGTGCAAATGCCTGTTTTGAGAAGCTGGATAGGGAGGAAGACTGATGAGACTAACAAGTTATGATTATTTCTGCCCTCAAGGGAGTCCTGGTCCAAGTTAATGTATCAGTATGAAGTAGTGCTACTGCTGACCTACACACAGACAGTCAGACGAGATGGGTTCTGAGAACACAGCCAAGCCACCACTGCCTATGCAACTTAAGATAAACGTCATGCCTTCCCTTTACACTTCTCAGGTCTCCTGTGACCCCCAAGTCACAGCTCGCCTTCAAAGGCACGCTGGTTGTTCTCTCCTGGTTCCTGTGTCTTGATGGCACAGTGTAGTGTGAAGGGAAAGAAAAGTCTCTCTCTGGTAAAAATCCTTCATGTGTGAAATGAGCACTTGCAAAATAGGACTGAACAGAGCCCTGCTCTCTGTCAATGTGTCCATTGTGAATGGAATATGAACATCAAAATGACCTTCCTGCATGAAAGAAAAACCAGAAACCAATGGGCACTGCTAGGCGAAGATAAAGCCAATAGGTCTTTAACAGTTAGAGACAAGAATGATGGCAAGGATGTTATATGTCTATTCATTCTCCCATGTTGGCTTGCTGGCAAAAGGCAGAGGAGTAAAGAGTAATAATTTGAAAACCTGCTCTTAGCATGTGTGATATGTCAGGAACTTAGAAACTTTTATTTAATATTTGCAATTGGTAGTTGTAAAAGTATAATGGCCAGGAAGGGCAGAGTCAAGATTTCAACTGAGGGAGCCTGTCTTGCCTCCACTTTGCCTATAGTCTTACTAGGGTGTTCTTTGAAACAACATTGCAATAACAACCACAACTCACAATTTAACAGGACAACTTGTAATGAAACAAATACAGATGACTTTCATTACAGACGGGATCAAACTTACTTGTATGGAATAATTACACAATGACATTACAGAGTGGAATATAGATACTATAATGGAACAAATAATTTTGAGTGAAAGTGTTTTCCCTATTCTGACCTCCTCTGAGAGTACAAAAATGAAGGTATATGAAAATCCTAGAATTACGGTTCTGTAAAAGGATCCTCAGTGATCTTCTAGAATACTATGTTAGGGTCATAAAGCAATATTGCAAAGTGCTTATACCTTTACCACGTAGTCAACCCAAATGGGTGTTATTAAAAAGTATAATTCTCTCATGTAATATTAAATCTTTTATCTAATTTAATTTACAGAACTTCTTTCAAATAGTTAGCAACCTTCTAGATGAAGAAAACAAGGAAAAATGGGAAGATGCACAACAGGTAAGGTTAGGGTTATTTCAGAACTTGAAGTTGGCAAAACAAAGTGTAAAAAATATGTGACTAAATTAATGGCTTGCTATTTCAGGAAAACAAGATATTTTTAAGTCAGTCTAGGTTATATCCTAGTAATTTTTGAGGAAACAAATGATCGTTACCATACCAGTCTGGAAGGAATATTTATACATGTGAAAAAAAGCTGTGCAAGTTTAAGCAACTTAAAACCTTAAGGATTTAATGTGTAATAATTATATACCTAACCAATAAGTTCCTTTTTTTTTTCTGTAGACCATGGGAAAAACAGCACATCTAAAAGTACATATTTCAAATGAAAGTATGGAGCTTTGACTAGTAAAACCATTTGCATTTACTACAATGCTACATATAATATGGATCACAGAGACAGTGATTTTGATTCAAAGCCAAGAATTGTAAAAATCAGGCCTCACCAAAAATTATGTTATGATTTTTTAAAAATCTTTTTGTTATGCTTTATCAGTGTAGCAAGTAACCTTGTTGGTTTAGATATTGTTTATAAATGCTTTGCATAGCCATTTGTGGTATCCTAACTGATAAGACAGTGACTAATTTGTTTTCCTCTGAATTACAGGAAAAGTGGGTTAGAAGTCTAGAAAGAGAGAAAAATTATGGTTTAAAAAATTAAATGTAAATTTAGTTTAACTGGATGTCAAACTTCTTTAGGTTTTCTATTTGACTCTTGTTAAAAATAAGACAATCTTGAAAAAAAAAGAATGAACATTTACTGAGGTTCGGGTTTTCCCTTTATAATCATATTCTGGGTCTTCAGGAGTAAAGCATGCCTTTTATCCTATTGTGACAGGAGCTCTAAAAATAGTCCAGTGTGGGGCTGCCTCATTATTAGATATAAATTTCATGCATCTGGACATAGCCAGAAAAAAAAACCCTTATTTTAATACTTTAAATCTATTTTTTTCTACCAATTTGAGTTACATATTTGTCCTTGGCTTTCTTCTAGAGGACAGCCTCATTCACTCACTGTAAGAAGATGGTGTCTTTCCTTAGAATACAGCTGCAGAGGCTAAGTACATCTTTCTAGGCTGCTAGAGACTATTAATTATGGATATATTAAGAAGAAATATGTAATATCCTATCTAAAACAAGACTGCAATTTATCAGATGCTGTTATTTACTGTGAGGTCCCAACTTTAACAAATAATGAATGGTGGCAGAACTTCTTGTCAATGAAAAATCCTGAATTCATAATCCATCTATTTCCTTGAGATTTTGAGTTAGCTATATTCTTATATTTAAAATATTTTTTCCAATAATAATGATCCTTAATGCTGTTTTTGAAATAACGATTTGAAGCTGAAAAAACAAAAACAACCCTGTTCTGCAGCTTTTACTAAAAGGCGGTGTCATAAATGCAGCCGTGTGGTGAATGGGTCTCTTGAGTTTGTGGCACAAACGGTGAACTTTGTGGAAATAGATGCTGTTTAAAATCTATCAAAGATAATCCTTGTGAGTCTCCTTATTTTTGAGTAATAGCCTCAACAAAAGTAAATGTAGAACAGACCTCTGTGTACGTTTGGAAAATGAGCTGAGTAAAATGGTGGCTATTGACATTGGAAGTTTTTTGCAAACAAAATTTACTCTTTCGAATAGTCATTTCAGAATTTGTTACCCATCAGTTCCAGTTATGAAGGATAAAACTATGTTTAGATAAAGCATCCTACTAAAAATGTAGTCTACTAAAGTTAAAAAAAAAAACTACATTCTATAGAGCACCACTTTACACCCTACCCATATGGCTGGAGTTAACAAGTCCGGTTTAGTCAAGACAAGTCATTTTAGTCATGTATTATGTTTGATATTTCGTCATTACATTGAAAATTCATATGTCTCTAGAGCAAGAGTGAGCAAACTGCAGCCAGTGAGCCAAATCCAGCTTGAGGCTTATTTTGTTAATCATATTTTGGAATATAGCCACACCCATTCATTTACCTATAATCTATATACGGTCGTTTTGGTGCGACAAGGAAAGAGTTGCATTTACAATAGAGACTTCATGTCCTGCAAAGCCTAAAATGTTTACTATATGCAAACAGAAAAAGTTTGCCAACCTTTTATAACCTGCTCTATAGCATTTGACTACACTTGGAGAAATATAATTAAAAACAAAATCTTTAGCCAACCTAAAAAATCTCTCCACCAAGGTAGAAGGGAAAAAAAACACATTCATTATTTAATAATCAGTAAACCAGAATGTAATGTGCATCATAGCCAATCCACTGCGATTACAAAGACCCTATTACATAGCCAAACAGTGTCCTCAAGGTAAACGGTAACTAGTTCTGAAGAGAACTTAAGAGCACCCTTTGTCACGCATAATTCATCCTAAATTCACTTGGTAATTGGCAGTGACCATCTTGTTACTTAATTGGCCTTATTCAAAGAAAAAATAACCTCCTTATATCTTTATGACTGGAAGTAATTTTGCCACTTGAAGCAAAATTCAAGAGGCCTCTGAAGTTAGGCTTCTACCTTTCACAGAAACTGAGAAAGAGGAGCACTATCTTTTTGTATATTTACCTCTCAAAGAGAGACATTCCTGGATCTTTAAGCTTGTAGGAGACTATTTAGCTTTTAAATAAATTGACATGCATTGCAAAGAGAAAAAGTGCTTACAATTACTAGTTTTCCAAAAGTAAATGTTCTTAGAAAAGGGAGAAGAGAGTGGGGTTGAGGGAGGGAGAGACTCTTCCCTTATTTTCAACACAAAAAAATAAGCCTCTTATTTTACTTTGTATTTATTACACTACACATACTCATATACATATGCACCTACACAAAGATAAGGGGAAAATACAGTAGTAGCAGGAAGCCTTGGTGATAACAAAAATCTTAGGCACATTCTTGAAAGTGGGATGATGGGCTTTCGAAATTCATGTTTAATGACTGAAAATGAAGCTAAGAGACAGGTTTTATCTCCCAAATCTTTCTAAAGTTAAAAATTGGAACTATCTCAGTTATACATGTCTAAGTCTAATATCCATCATTCATGTCTTCAAGTATATGTGAGTAAATATACTGTAGATACTGCCTGATTTTTAGACGGGCACAACCGCAAGCCCCTTTGAAATACACATGTGCCTGCTATCCCTTTCAGCTCTGACTATATGCTTTTCTATTATTCAGAATGCCTTTTCGTCTTCTGCACTAGTCTTTGCGATTACAAAGCAGCTAGAACTCTCTAATCCACTTAATTTTTCATGGCTAGAAAATGCAGTGGTGCTGAATGGCCACAAGAAATTAACCTGACTTCAAAAGATTTTCTGCTCTAAAGTGGTTATATAATGCAGGATGACTTTATAAGCTTTATGGGTTATACACATGAAAATTCATGTGACATTTTCAATAGCCTTTATGTTCCAAACACTATGAACTATTGACACAATCAGGTTGCCAAATAAAAAAACACTCGTCCATTTGTACTGTATGAGGTGCCATGATGTTGAAAAAATCACTTGGACCATGGAGGCAGATGGTCCTCTAGGTAGGCAGGTAGATAAGTAGGTAGATGGATAGATGGATAGATGCATAGATGGACAGTTAGGTAGATACTGCTTAGCCACTATTAAAGATACAATATGGCCTTAGGTATGCTGTTTAACCTTCTTGAGGTCTTGCTTCTTCTTGCCTAAAATATGGACAATAATCCCATAAGTGTGTTTTGTATTTGTACATGTAAAGCACATGCACTAGGGCTATTAATATTATTGTAATCCTAAAATTATTACCATTATTCTTACAGTGGGCATTATAATTATTAAACAATAAATGTTTCTCTGAAGATATTTATTATTATGCAATAACTTAATAGTTTGTAAATATCTTCATGGTGGCAATATTAACTCTTTTTCCTCTTGTGTTCCTCATATAGATGCCAAGCTAAACATGTAAAGAGCCCAATTTCAGTGTTCTATGTTTTGTTAAGTGATGAAAAGAGTTCATCAAAAGAAAAGTCGTCTATTTTTTGAGGAGACAATCTGTTAGATATTTTGAGTTTCCTTAGATTTATGAGGGATTAATCACTACATCATATTACTTCCAAAGTTCCTCCAATGTGACACCTGATGTCATTCTCAACTATTAATTTAAAAAATACAGCTATTGGCAGCTGTAGATTTTTTTGAAGTGAAACAAAGCTCATTTGTGATTTCATGTAGTTTAAAAAAATTCAGTTATATATGCCATTGTATGTATAGATTTTTTATTCCTTCTAACCTTTGCTTATTTTTCTAGATTTATCCAGGGTCAATAGAGTTAATGCAGGTGATTGAAGATTTTATACACATTGTTGGAATGGGGATGATGGACTTTCAGAATTCATACTTAATGACTGGAAATGTAGGTAAGAAATAGGATTTTCCCCCAAAATCTTTCTGAAATAAAAAAAAATTGCAAGTATCTACACCATACGTTTCCAAGTATAATATTCATTATTCATATGTTTAACTGCATGTGAGCAAATATATTTCTAATACTTGGTATCTGACTTTTAGATGGGCCTAAACACATTGCATTATATATATGTACGCGTATATTTGTATTTATCTTCATGCATTTGTATGATTGCTTGTAGGCCTATTTTTGTGTATCTTTACATGTATATGTAGGATAATATGTATTTATTTTTTCATTCTGCCAAATGCTCATTGCTATCTAATCTAGTTATGAATGTGTGTGTGTGTATACACACTAGTAATTTTGAAAAACAACATATTAGTCTTTATGATCTTCCGTACATTGTTCTTGAGGATGCCGAGTTACTTTCTCACTGATTGTCCCAGGCAGGAGCTGAATCTGTGTGTGGTAGAACACTTGAGAATAACTTCCAGGGTTAAGATGATGGTGCAACTGCTGCCAATGCAGTTTTTCTGAATATGTTCCAGTACACAGTGGATCTCTCAGGTCCCTCTGTAGTGGATTCTGTAATGCAACAACCATTATATTAACCAAATGACACACTTCTCTTTGTGGTTAAAAATTAACAAGCACAAAGAAATAGCCTTCTTAGTGATACACATTGAATTGATGTAGGCTTACAGTTTTCTCATTTCTTTAAAGCTTCTTCTGATAATGTTACTGTGATTCAGAATTATTTTCTTTCATTTGTCATACTTTAATACTCTTAACATAAAAACCACTGAACCATAGATAGAAATGTGTTTAAATAAAGATATTTTGCCCTATATTCGTATTCACAGATATTTATGCTTTAGTTTCTGGATTAGGAAGAGACCTACTTTGGTGGGAGAATTAACTAGGGAAGTTCAGCTGGTAGAGAACATAATTTTTTTTTATGATTAAGGCTGTTGGTGGTTCATTTTATACTTAATTTCTTCTGAAGGTCCCTAAGTCCTGCAGAGACTGATTTTATCCTAGGATATCTTCCACCAGGGTGACCTCAGATTACAATAGGTTATAGTTAACTACTGGTAATATTCTTCACTTGAGGAAAGTCTATGTAATGGATAGTTCAAACGTCTGGAGACATTTTGGAGCCCATATATCCTCTTCATCCAGCACAGGCCTTAATCAGAGAGTTTAACATCTTAATGCATCTTCTGAGCCTATTGGAGGGCCCACACTTTTCTCCAGAGTGGGTGTCCAGCAGCTTGTGCCAGTTCAGTAATGGAGGAAGCTGTACCTTCTTATGGACAATTAGAGTAAAAAGAGACAAAAGATGGTATCTTTGTTGAACGATGAATTCAGAAATCAGAGAAATTCCCAATTAAATGTCCATTATAAAAGTGGCTGGGCAGATAAAGGAAAGAAAGTCCATAGGAACGGTATAACATGTCTGTGGAAAAGGTTTAGCAATCACAGCTATGAGTTTTAAGGCACGTGGAAGGAATCTAGCAAGATTCCAGGGATGCTAGTCACCCAAGCCGGAACCACTTTCCTAAGGGAAGGAAATGAGTTATGAAGGGTCTTGGGGCAGATTGGACAATTGGTAAAGTAATTTATGAGTTAAAATGAGATAGAAAAACAGAGAACTATTGTTTTCTTCTTCTTGTTGTAAATGTTAACATCTAATCCTAAAAGGTATTGCTAATTAAAAGAATGCTCAGATCAATACATGGCATTTGTGCAGAATGTGTTTGGAATAAAAACTATAACAAACAAAGCCAATCTCAGAGTCTAGCAAACTTAAATTGGATTTAAACTTAAATTTGGATTTGTGTTTCAGAATCACAGCGTATCACATTCTCTATAGCTGTATTATTTGCTGTAAAAATTTCATAAATGTCCATAAATTACAATCATTTATTCATCTTTACCTTTCTTTGACTCACCAAGCTTGTATATTTGAAAATATTGTGTATTTTTTTGCAATAAGATTATGTTATCTAGGTTTACCTTCTTCCCTTAAATGTTATTAAACTGTAAGAGGTATATTAAGCATAACTCAAAGCAGTCGAATGCTGCAAATAAAGTCAATATCATCCTATATCATTGTCCATCTTGCCTGAGGATAGTGTGATTGTTCTGCCTTCTGATTGTTTATATAGCAACAATTATCCATATTAAAAGTTATGTTCTGTGAGTAAAAATTCTAAACATTATTTATACTGACTACCCAAAAGACATCTGATTTGTTGTTGATTTCCTCAAATGCTAGCTCAGGGACTGACTGACACTGTAGTTTGGTGACTAGAACTGAGGGTTATGCGCCATAGTATTCAGGAGTTTTCCAAATTGTATACACTAGTATCAAATTAAGTAATATGAATAATGATCTCTTACTATTAATACTTTTTATGTTATCCAATTTGATACTATATATGTAAAACATTATAATGTTTTGTCTGATATTTCCAATGTTTTTGAGCATGGACATAAATAGAGACTATTTTATAGTAGAAAGTTGTGAAACATGTGAATTGGCCCTCATTCTGTCTTACATTCTAAGTCCAAATATTAATTATCCAACAGTCTGCTCATTATATTGAGCAGACATATATGCACAAACACAGGCATGCACTCAGCATGTGAGAAATGAATAGAGACTGAGTAACTAAGAAAGTTTGTTCCTTATGGCCATTTTCTTTAGAATGTGTTGGATTAAGACTACTTAAAGAACTTCAAAAATCATAATGTATTTTAGAGAGATTATAAATTATTTTTTCATAAAGTCTATATGTATAGCTGCCTCACTTTTCTGACTATAGATAGTACACTCCTGAAGGAAGAAGGAGTTGAACAGTCAAATATGAATGCCAAAATGACCATGCAATTTAATAAAAGACTCTCAGAACTAATAGATTATTTTATTTCAACTTTAAATATAGTTTCAGCATTTCTGTTTTCTAGTTACTGGATTAGATAGAATGGGTTGGAAGCAGAAGCAGTGCTATTAGAGGCACATGTATAGCAAATAGAATAGATGAAATGCTGGAACAATAATAACAAAGAAATACTTTTTCCTTACTGTCATTTCCTAAAGAAATGACACCTCATGTCTCACCTTTGAGAGCATTAGTTCTAAGACTTAGGACGATAATTTATATTTAAAAGCATGGCCTTAATTCATCAAGATAAGAGTTCCTAGAATCTGATTAAAATCTCAGAAAAGGAGTGACATATTTTAGAAAGACTTTCTTCAAAAATAGTTCAAATGAAAAAGTTCGAAGCTTCTTTTTTTCTGAAAAATCTCCCTGTCTATATTGGCTTTTGATAAATGAAATGCTCTTATATGATAAAAAATTCTATGAACATTTTGGTATATATGTGTGCATGTACATTTTTATAGGGAGCATGTTCATAGCTTTGATCTTTTTCTTAAAAGATTTATGATCTCAAAACGTTTAGCAGAGGTTTGGAAAAAAACAGTCTACAAACAAAGATTTCAAACCAATGAATTTATAAAATAATCAAGCTTCAATATAATATTTAGTTTTCATTTTTAAATATGTATATGACATCTAAAATAAACACATGAAAGTTATAATGCATGAGTTAATGAGCATTTACTAAAGACTAAATGCTCTGCTAAATAGTTTAATTACTATATAAATGTATGAATGAATGTGTATGAAAGATTTCAATTTTCAATATGCCTCTTTTTAAAAAAAATTATATTTGAAATGTTTTAACTATCTGCATAGGTAAGTGGTTTTTGTTTTAGGAAAAGCATGTGACTTTTTCAATATATCAATAATTTTAAAAATGTATTAGTATCAATTAGGTCTGGAGGGCCATATCTTTATATTATTTAATATGAGATATTTTTAAAAAGTTATTTTTTCAACAAGACAGAAAGTTATTTTTCAATGAAAATATTATTTGAAGATTTATTTCAACTTGTTTTCTATACTTTTCCTCTAAACATTTTTCCTTAAGGACCTTGCAATCCTATTTCTCTTATTATCTTTCTGAAGCTCCTATTTGAAAAGCCTTCCAGAAACTCTAATTGCCAAATAAATCTACTCCCATTTTTCATCCTTCACATCCTTTGTGCTTTGCTAACCACTCTTTCTTGATACTGTTCATTCCTTTAAAAATTTTACATTAACTACAGTGTAAAATATACTCAAAGGATAAATCTAAACTCATGGCTTGAAAGTATTTGGATTTCTTTTGCGGTAATAGCATAAAACAAATAACATGAAGCCCTGAAAAGGATAAAAGTACATTATTTTGAGGTCCAGCTGTTTGCAGTTCCAAATACAAAATGGAGTGTATGAGATCTGACATGACTAGAATGACAAGGCAAGGGAATGGGACTATATTGTTCTAACGATTTGTCCAAAGTTACAGTGATGATTTATAGTTTTGGTTATATTTTCAGTTATATATTTTTATATATTTTTCACAATAGCTTCATATAGCATATTACATTTGCTTTTATTGATAAGAATATCCTATTCTTTAGAAATTAATTGTATTAGTTTAGAACCTAGAACTAGAATTGCATTCATTGAACTGAATTCAAGGAAGATCAGTGATGTGTCACATGTTACTCTCCCATTGACTATGTTCAAGCAAAAACAAAAATAATTTTTCTCTTACTGTAAGCAAAGCCTTTGCTGAATGACTCAGGTCATTAAAATAAATGTCTAATCTTCTAGCCTGCAAGAAAATTGCGGTCTAGTTGTAGACAGAAAAGAATTACATAAATAAATAAACATCAAATACACTTTGATATGTGTCACATAAGCCAAATGTTAGTGCTTTATTCCAGGAGATGTTGTTCTGTATAAGGATCAAGAAAAACTTCTTAGAGAAGGAAGCATTTAATGTAGACTTTGAAGAATGGCTGGATTATTGATAAGTCAACATAAAGAAGAGTGAATAGCAAATAGATGGTTACAGTCCAGAACATTCTTTTAGCAAAGATGATATAGAGATGTCAAAGTTGAAATTGTGCTTGGGGAAAAAAATGGCCTATTTTAATAGAAGCACATATGTATAGAAGTGAAGGAAGTAAAATCAAATTGGAAAGGCATGTTGATTCATGGTTCTGAATTCTAAAGATAATAGGGAGTCACTGAATCTTTACCTGACAAGAGTTGTGCTTTGGTAGAACATATGTAAGATGAGAAAATAGAATTGATTGAAGTTGGGAAACACCATCAACACAGTGAGTCCAAATGTAGATAGAAGGCTTTTAATAGTAATTCATGCAGGAGACAATGAAGACAGGAATTGCTGGTGGTAAGAATAGGAACTGACATGTGGGTATGAATTTGAGAGTCTGTCTGAGGCTAGAATTGATAGGATTCCATAACTGACTGGGGTGTGAGAGATAGTGGAGGGATTGATATTATGTTTATTCAACATAAATTTGTGAGTATTTTTGACATATTAATATTTAGACAAGTATAGCCCCCAAGTGAAAAAAATAAAATGAGAACTTGGATTTTATTAGAGGAGTCAAATCTATAAATACACATTTGGTAATCAACTACATAAAAGTGATAGTTGAAGTCATAAAAGTTTTTTTCAATTATCAATACAATAATAAAATAGAAGAGACGTAAGGTGATATCTACGTTAAAAACAAAGAATCAAAGTTGGTGTCAGAGTAATAATGATTAGAGGTAGTAGGTATAAGGAGTTCCAGGACAAGACAGTATAAAATCAGTGTCTTATAATAAAATGGAGAGAACGTTTCAAATTGATCGCTCTACTTAATATCAACTGCTAATAAAGTTCAGTGTCTTAAGTTAAGATAAACTTTATGGGATTCTCAATTCTGTAACATGAAAATTCTCAAGGAAAAGTGCAGACACAGTGAACAGGACCTAAATGTTCAAGCTCTTTATGTGGTTTCAATGGATTACACCCATAAAATTTTGATACAGTAATCTTTATGAATTTACTTTAGATAGATGAATGTTGCTACACCCACTTACAGCTATTTCACAACTGTTCCTTAGGAATTATTTGATGCTGAAAATATCAAATAAGAAGGGAATGGTTTTAGGCTAAATAAGATCTTCAAATACAGAATGCTATAATTATTAGTTGTTAGGAATTTCAAAAGTTCTGCTGATATATAAACCCTAACAGATACAAGAATCTAAAACATATCAATTTAGTTATCCAGTAATCCAATAAGGCTAGTGCCTTGAAAGCATTAAAGTAAGATATTTTTCTTTGAAAAGGTAAATATTACTGTGTCTTCTTGGTTTAGAAAATATTAAATATTAAGGCGACCGGGCACGGTGGCTCACGCCTGTAATCCCAGCACTTTGGGAGGCCGAGGCAGGCGGATCATGAGGTCAGGAGATCGAGACCATCCTGGCTAACATGGCGAAACACCGTCTCTACTAAAAATACAAAAAATTAGCCGGGCGTGGTGGCGGGCACCTGTAGTCCCAGCTACTTGGGAGGCTGAGGTAGGAGAATAGCGTGAACCCGGCAGGCTGAGCTTGCAGTGAGCCGAGATCGCGCCACTGCACTCCAGCCTGGGCGACAGAGCGAGACTCCGTCTCAAAAAAAAAAAAAAAAAATAAAAAATAATAAAATAAAATAAATATTAAGTTTGTCAGGATGAAAATTCATAGTTGATGTTTTCTGAAATTGAATCCAAATTCAACCTGAAAAATGGTGTGATACAATGTTGACATCTCCTTTCTCTGTGCAATGCCTTTTCATCAGCACCAAACCTATGTTCTTTCTTATATTCACTGGCAAACTTGATAATTTCATTGGTAGAATATCTTGTTCTTTAATAGAGAAACCAACTTTCAGTCTGACAATATTATTCTAAAATATAGTGGCTTCTCTTTCTAGGCTTTATTTTCCTTTGTGTCGCTGCTTAGTTTTGTGATTCACACATCCCCATCTCTTGTTTGACTTCCTTTCATTAAAAATGAGACACTTGTAGTCTGTTGACATCACGCCTGAAAAATACACAATTTAACTTTTTTTTTTTTTTTTGGTATGTTTATTTGTGGCACCTGACGTCAGTTCAGTCAGCTAGATTTGAGTCTGAATGTGCTAAGTTCTATCTCTGCCTTCTGGCTCTTTACCACCCTTGCTAAACACCTGAAGCTAGTGGGTATTTTTCTGTAGGTCAGGAAAAAAAATACAACAAAAAATATCTGTTTCTTTATTGTGCTAACATACTGGTTTCCTGAGAAAACAAGTAGTTCAAACATAGTTTTAAACTTTGATATGCAGCTGTAGAGTTCTTTGATTGCTTCTCATTTCATAGAAATTATCTCATGGTATTTACTAGGATCCTCTAATTCCACATGGTTGGGGTGGAAGCACTGGGGAGGGTGACATTGTGAAAGGCTATATCAGACCCTGTTAGGAGCAAACAAGACAAACTGCCCAGGTGTGTAATGGGCTTTCTTGCACACAACTGAACCCCAGGTTGAGGTGCTTCCTAGTGCTAGTATAATAGATTGGTAATGATTCATGGATTTAACCAGCTTTAAGAGGTCTCAGACAATTATTCAGTAAATATCTGCCATGTTTTGTCCTAGAAGATGTCTCAGTGAATGAATTAGACAAACCTCTTGCTCTCATGGAATTTATGTTTTGTGGTAGAGATACAGATGTCAAACCATGCCATCAAACATGCCCAGTGGTTATAATCGTTAAAAGAGGAATGAAGCAGTCGACAGGGTGAGTGGTTAACGAGTCAAGAGAGCAGTGTCATTTCAGGGAGGATGACCAGGGAGGGCCTTTCATCTGCAAAGCGGTATTTGAATATAGAACTGAACCTTTAGAGCATGAGATGCAGTGATATGTAGGGGCAGAACACTTCAGACAGAAGAAACAATAAGTAAGCAGAAAGGCCATGATTCACCCATGTGCTTCATATATTAGAGGAACTGGGGAAAACCACTAGTGCTGGAATAGCTGAGGGAGGAGCAGTGGGAGGAAATGAAGTCAGAAAGGGAGAGGGAAGTGAAGCTAAAAGGTATTTGTCTGAGGTCTGAAAGGAATGCAAAATGCTTAACAAGTATTTGTCACTTACCTAAGGGGATACATCCTAAGAAATGCATCCTTAGACTATTTTGTTTTGCGAACATCATAGAATGTACTTCCACAAACCTAGATGGTATAGCCTATTACACGTCTAGGCTACAGGGTATAGCCTATTGCTCCTAGGCTACAAACCTACACAACATGTTACTGTATTGAATACTGTAGGCAACTGTAACACAAGGGTAAATACTTGTGTGCCTAAACGTAGATAAGCTGTAGTACAAATTTGGTATAAAATATTAAAAATGGTACACCCGCATAGAGCACTTACAATGAATGGAGCGTACAGGACTTAAAGTTGCTCTGCATGAGTCAGTGAGTGAGTGGTGAGTGAGTGTGAGGGTGTAGGAAATTACTATTCACTGTTGTAGACTTTATAAACACTGTACTCATAAGCTACACTAAATTTATTAAAAAAATATTTTTCTCCAAAAATAAATTAACTTCAGCTAACTGCAACTCTTTTACTTTATAAACTTTTTTTTAACTTTTGGACTCTTGTAATAATACATTGCCTAAAGCACAAACATATTGTACAGCTGTAAAAATATTTTCTTTCTTTATGTATTTATTCTATAAAACTTTTTTCTATTTTTAATTTTTAAATTTTAGATTTTTAGTTTTTTTTTTGGTAAACCCAAGACATGAATTCACACATTAGCCTAGGCCGTACCCAGGGTCAGGATCATCAATGTCACTGTCTTCCCCTTCAGATCATGTCCACCTGAAAGGTCCTCAGGGGAAATAACATGCATGGAGCTGGCATCTCCTATGATAACACTATTTTCTTCCAGAATACCTCCTGAGGGACTTGCCTGAGGCTGTTTTACAGTTAACTTTTTTCTTAAATAGGAGTACACCCTAAAATAATGGTAAAATGTACAGTATAGTAAATACTAAGCAATAGAAATTTTTCAGCTGCATTATAATTTTATGTGACTACCATCATATAAAGGGTCCACAGGTGACCAAAACATCATGTGGCGCATGATTATCATCTGATGTAGGTACTAAAAGGATCATTCTGACTATGAGGTGGAGATATTATAATAGACTATTTGGCGCTTGAGTGAAAACAGGAAGAGCAGTGCTGTGCTTACTCAGGTGGGAGAACAGAGGTTTGGGTCAAGTGACAGTGGAAATAGTGAAAAGGGGTCAGATGCTGAAGATATTTTAGTTGTTGATCTGAAAGAGCTTACCAGTAGGTAGAAATAGAGTGTGGAAGAAGGAGAGCACTCAAGGAAATATATCCACTGCATCTCCAAGAATCCAACTACAGAAGCAAGACAGATTTATATCAAAAATTTACTTTGGCAGCTATTCGAATGCCTGTAAAGTTTAGAATTCAAAGCAGTCTTATTTTGGCTTTTTAAAAATATGTTATCCTTCCTAACTCCAACCCAAATCCTTGCTCCTGTGGTTTGAGCCCATTTGATTTTTACTATTCTCAAGGAGACTGAGCAATTTTATCCTCAGAAGCCATCAGCATTCTGTCATCATCCCACCATACAAATCCTTGGGCAAAAGCCAGAATGAAATTGTTCATTAAAATGACTTTGTAACTCATATTGAGTTGCCAGCTAACAAATGAAATAATTCCTACTTTCCCTACCACTTTTGTGTGACTTTTTTAATTGGAAGGTCCAGGAGCCTTTAGAATAGAACTCTTAAGGCTCAACCAAGTCCAGCAAGAAACTAGTCAGCTCCATTCTTTTGAAAGCTGTTTTCGGTTTTTTTGTTTGTTTGTTTTTGTTTTTAATAAAAACGTAAAAATAAGAATACCATAGAAGTTTCTTATCTAAGTTGGAAATATATTTGCAAAACATCTTCATCTCTACAGCTTTACAAATGTTATGTGTAATAGAACTAGTCTCATAGTTATAACCCTGGACTTTAATGTCGAAAACACTGATCATGTTATGATGTTTCAATTTATTAGTAGGGCTGCATTCTTTTAGAAGTTAACTGCTGTGAAAAAAAGAGTAATATAATATTTCTAAATTTATCTTATCTGTTTTATACACCCATGCTAAGACACAACTATTCATGGTGTCACTATTAAATAATGCTTCTTGTCCCTGAGAAACTTGAAAACGTTGTCAATACTCTTTCTTGTTGTGAGTAACCCAAATGCTCTAAACTTTCTATATTATCACATATTATGCCAATTTCTAGCCTTAAACTTCTGAACTTCCTTCACAAGTACCATTTGAGTACAACATAAAGAAAGATATTTTTATTTGTTTTTTCCCCTTTTATTCCTCAAGCTTTCTAAGAAAAGTTTTGTTACAGCATCATTAATATTTCATAGCATGCCCCAAATTAATGTTTTCACAAATATTCATGATACTATTTACTCCTCACAACCTTTCTGCCTGGGTGAGAGGGGTACCCACATAATTTGTCCTACATCAGTGCCTCCCATTCAGAGTGGGTGCATTTTTTTCCCCTTTACATCTTGGTAATTGAAAGTCAAAGATTTGTTTCATTTTCTTGCTCAGCCAACCACATTCTAACCTACTTCTGTTATATAATGAACTTCAGTGTAATTTTTTTATTATGTGACTCTAGGGAAATCATACTCATCTGTTCTATATTTCTACATCAAGGTAAAATGACTCCTGACCATTTGTTTTCTTTTGTGCTAATATTCTTCATATGTATCCACTTTATTTGAAAATTTGAAACTTTTTTTGGCTAATTACACAAGTTATGCTTTCATAAATCTTTTATACCATATCTTAGATCATGAAAAAGTGAACTTATTTGTTACTCCTTCAGTCTCCATCCCTTCAGCAACTGTTTAGGAGAGAGGGCATAAATAGAGGGCCAAACCTTTCATTCTAAGGCACATAATTTCTTTTGAATTTTTTATTTACTAAGAAAATACTCATAGTCTAAAGAAACCTAAGGAGGTCACATAGAATTAGGTTGCAAACGTATGATATATAGAATGCACATTAATGTGGAGCAGCATTGGGAAAATCAATAGGAAAAGTGGAGGAAAAGCTGACTTCTGCTGTAGCTGTACAATGTATGAGAAAAGAGCTTAAGGACTGAAGAATGAAATGACTATAACAGAGATAGTGATGGTGAAGGAGTGTGCTTGAGTAGTATATCTTTCTATACTGGACATGAATTGTGAAAGCTGTCCTCAAATAGAAAACCATAACTTCAAAAATTAAGATTTCCTATAATAATACAGGCCAAGAATTCTAGTTTCTTACATGTTAACACATAGAACTTAAACAAATTTACAAGAAAAGAACAAACAACCCCATCAAAAAGTGGGCAAAGGATATGAACAGACACTTCTCAAGAGAAAAAATTTATGAAGCCAACAAACATATATATATATATATGATATATAGAATGCACACACACACACACACACACACACACATATATATATAGCTCATCATCACTGGTCATAAGAGAGGTGCAAATCAAAACCACAATGAGATACCATCCCATGCCAGTTAGAATGGCAATCATTAAAAAGTCAGGAAACAACAGATGCTGGAGAGGATGTGGAGAAATAGGAACACTTTTACACTGTTCGTGGGAGTGTAAATTAGTTCAACCATTGTGGAAGACAGTGTGGTGATTCCTCAAGGACCTAGAACCAGAAATACCACTTGACCCAGCAATCCCATTGCTAGGTATATACCCAAAGGATTATAAATCATTTTACTATAAAGACACATGCACACATATGTTTATTGCAGCACTATTCACAATAGCAAAGACTTGGAACCAACCCAAATGCCCATCAGTGATAGACTGGATAAAGAAAATGTGGCATATATACAACCATGGAATACTGTGCAGCCATAAAAAAGGATGAGTTCATGTTCTTTGCAGGGACATGGATGAAGCTGGAAACCATCATTCTTAGCAAACTAACACAAGAACAGAAAATCAAACACCGCATGTTCTCACTCATAGGTAGGAGTTGAACAATGAGAACACATGGACACAGGGAGGGGAACATCACACACCAGGGCCTGTCAGGGGAGTGGGGGGCTAGGGGAGGGAATAACATTAGGAGAAATACCTAATGTAGATGATGGGTTGATGGGTGCAGCAAACCACCATGGCACATGTATACCTATGTAACAAACCTGCACGTCCTGCACATGTATTGCAGAACTTAAAGTATAATAAAGCAAAACAAAACAAAACACATAGACATAGCCACAAACATTTTGGGTTTGAGTTTTCTTTTCTTTTTCCTCTTCTCTTCTCTTCTCTTCTCTCTCTGTCTCTCTCTCAAGAATTCTAGAGTTTCTTACGAGTTAACACGTAGACTTAGCCACAAACATTTTGGGTTTTAATTTTCTTTTCTTTTCTTTTTTTCTTTTCTTTTCTTTTCTTTTCTTTTCTTTTCTTTCTTTTCCTTTCTTTTCTTTTCTTTTTTTTTTCCTCTTCTCTTCTCTCTTCTCTTCTCTTCTCTTCTCTTCTCTTCTCTTCTCTTCTCTTCTCTTCTCTTCTCTTCTCTTCTCTTCTCTTCTCTCTCTTCTCTCTGTCTCTCTCTCTCAAGAATTCTAGAGTTTCAGCCAGGCTTGGTGGCTTATGGCTGTAATCCCAGCACTTTGGGAGGCCGAGGCGGGCGGATCATGAGGTCAGGAGATCGAGACCATCCTGGCTAACACGGTGAAACCCAGTCTCTACTAAAAATACAAAAATTTAACCGGGCGCAGTGGTTGGGGGCCTGTAGTCCCAGCTACTCGGGAGGCTGAGGCAGGAGAATGATGTGAACCCGGGATGCAGAGCTTGCAGTGAGCCGAGATCATGCCACTGCACTCCAGCCTGGGCGACAGAGCAAGACTCCATCTCAAAAAAAAAAAAAAAATTCTAGAGTTTCTTACATGTTAACATGTAGACCTAGCCACAAACATTTTGAATTTGAGTTGTCTCTTTCTTTCTTTCTTTCTTTCTTTCTTTCTTTTTCTTTCTTTCTTTTCTTCCTCTGTCTCTGTCTCTCTTTCTTTCTTCTCTTTCCTTTCTTTCCTTTTTTTCTTTTCCTTTCTTTCTTTTTTTATTTTTTTGAGACAGGTTCTTAATTTGTCACTCAGGCTGGAGTGCAGTGGCATGACTTCAGCTCACTACAACCTCCACCTCCTGGGCTCAAGTGATACTCCTGCCTCAGCTTTTTGAGTAGCTGGGACTACAGTCATGCGCCACCACGCCAGGCTAATTTTGGTATTTTTGGTAGAGACTGGGTTGCCATGTTGCCCAGGTTAGTCTCGAACTCCTGGACTCAAGAGATCTCCCACCTTGGCCTCCAAAAGTGTTGGGATTACAGATGTGAGCGACTGTTCTGGCAGTTTTCTTTATTCTCTATGAAGAGCTTGAATTTCTACAAAAAAAGTTTTTGATGACCTGTGTGCCCTAGGGAAGGTATAAAGAGAAGTGTTGCGTAAAGGGGTTGGTGGTTTGCCTCAGTTCAAGAGATCTTCAGAGGACTTTAACTAGGAAAATTTTCTTAAAAATAGGATTGAGCAAAAAGACTGTTTGGGAAACTAGGTGGCAAGTGGCTTTCTATTTCCCTGGAGACCTTGTATATGAAAGATCTTGGAATTATAGGTCTTCCCCAGTTGACTTCATTGTTATTTCCGAGATAAACTCCTTCAAAATCTGGTAGAGTCACACCAATAACATAAATGGGAAGGTGAAATCTAAAGTCAATTGAAAACAAATTTTGAATTTTATAAAATATTACTTCTGATTTTTATTGGTTTTGTATTGCAATGATTTGAAATTAGTAAAGTTATCACGCTATATGCCTTCTTTTCAATTTTGCTCTACAAATGAACTAGAAGGATGCTGCTGTGAGTTTGTGTAAATATAAAAAACAATCCCAGTTTAACTGTTTCTATGGCAATAATTGCTCATCTCTATGGAAATAGTGGTCTGCCTATTTAACAATAACCCGTGAAGAGAAAAGAGGTATTGACTCCCTTTAACAAATTTTCATTCTTTTTCTATTTCATTTCACCTTTTCAAAAATCTTATTTTGTTTGGTTATACCAAGAAATCTGGACTAAATTATTCCTTTCCTCCTTTGCTTCCTTCACTGAATTCCAAATAAATAAGTATTCATGTGAATTTGAAAACTAAAAATTCTGGCTCAGATTGAAGACTGTGCTTTTATGTCAGTGCAAATAGGGATGCCCTTTTGTATCTTTTAAAACATGCTAGCTTTGGAGTTAGACATCTGGCTGCAAACCTTGACTATACCATGACTAACTAGCCTTCTGGAAGTTATCTCTCCTGTATAGTTGTCAAGATTAAAGGTAACATATATTTAGCACATACAAACACAAGGCCAAATATGGGCTGTGCTACTGATTTGATATGTGACTTTGGTTACTGAGTAGCCACTCAGTCCCTTGCAGCCACAGTCCACTCCTCTAGGGAACTTGCAGAGTTCCTACTTAAGTTTAGTATCCTACATTTTAAAAAATATATAAATATTATACTTATTGTGTACTTTACAAAGAAGACCCAGATCTCAGACTTCTAGGCAGATATTATGACCAATCTAGAAAACAATATGTGCTGTCTAGCTGTTTTATGGTTGTCTTCTGTGGTGTAATGGCAGTTAGGGCCCATGAAGATTTCAATGGCATTTGGCATTTTGCTATCTTAAAAAGCTATTCTTCTTTGTAGTTATTTGTCATTAGTCAGATCCTAGCTCTCTTGAATGATTCATACAAATAAATAGTTTCTGCTTTAATTTTGTATTTTTTTCCTTAACATATACTCCATCAACTATCATCTGCAAAATTTCGCCAATTATCTCTATAAATGCATCAAATAATTATGTAGTATTGCTACATTCTCTGAAATTTATAAATGAATTAGTTCATTTTTATCCTTAACTGAAGTCTTTTGAATAGTCAAAAATATTTTCATTCTTTTGCAATGCAATTAAATTTTCCATATGAACAGCTTTAACTTTAGAAATATAAATAATTTCTTATATGGCTAGTTTAGCATATTTTTTTAATTTGGTCTTTTGTTTTGACATGTGGCATATGTACATGAGAGAGCAGGTACAAATGTGTTTTTGTGTGTTTATCTTCTAAAATATTTATCAGTGTTTGAACCAGATATGCAGTTGTTTTAGATATCGTTAAAATTCATACTACAGGCTTAAGGAAAAGTTAGGTGGCTTTTTTCAAAGTTACATTAAAGAATGAAGATACGTTTTAATGAAAGTTAAACTGAATTGAGAATCCTACAATAACAAGATTTAAGGGGTTTATAATTGTCTATACTGGACAGTACTGTATTGAAGGCATAGCTGATGACTACAAAGTAGAAGCGAACTGTTCACAAGGGAGTGATTTATATTGGATAATAGGTTATATTCCCAAATATATATTCTGAATTCAGACAAAACCTGACTCATTGAATTTATTAACAGGGTTCTCAAATGAAGTGGGAATACATAATTGAGACTAAGATACTAAAGCATTTTCTTTATTACTATAAAATGTTTAGTAAGCATCTTCAATATCCATTTAGCTATAGTTTTCCTCTTTGAAATATGAACCTTCCTCCTTTTGAAGAATCTGTACTTTTTATTACAGAGTCTGACCTTCCTCTCTACTTTCTACATAGTCACCTTTTGCTTTTTCCAAATTAATTCCCTGATTGTTTGTCTTTTAATTTTCCCTAACTCCAAATACTTACCTTATTGCCCCCAAATAACATCTATAGTATTTAAAATGTATTCTGAAAATCTAAAATATCTTTAAAATCACAGAATTTTAGAAATATGGAATATTTATTTTTAAATAATTTCTTAACAGAGAAGCAAATGTATTATTTTGTAATATAATTTAGACTACATAGGTGAAACAAAATTATAATTGGTTGATATGCTCTTTTTAGCTATATAAAATTTATATAGCTATAAATTTATTTTATACTACATATAATTATATAAATTATATAGCTATATATTTTATAAATTATAGCTATATATAAATTATAACTATATATTTATATAGCTATAAATATATAACTATATGGTGAGAGACAGAGAGAGAGACAGAGAGGAAGACAGAGAGAGAGTGAGAGAGAGAACAACAGTACATTAACTTAGAAAGGGATAGTTTAATAATGAGAGGATGGTTTTAAAAGGAGTCAAAACCATCACTCATTTAGTGTTAGTGGAACTCAATTAGTGTTCACTGGTAAATTTTATATAGTTAAAAAGAGCATAACTATATAAAGTGAAATAGAACACTCAATTTGATCATAGAGTGTGTGTTTGTGGGGTTGGAGAGTAAGCTATTGTTTGTTTGAGGATTTGTTTGTTTAATAATCCAAAGACCAAAATTATTTTCTGAACTTTAGTGTCCTTAATAGTCTATTGCTTCATATGGGAAAGACATGATGTTTTCAAATATAGAGTTGATGTGTTAATTTTATTAGTCATCATCCTTTGTTTATAATTCCAATGATAAACTCATGAATTTCTACTATAATACCATTAAGATATGTTTTTGCTTCTTTATGATCCAAAATTAGTCTATAAAATATAATTAATTGTGCCTGGTTCAGAGTGTGTTGTGGCATCAAATGAGGTAATTCGCTGGTATGAGGATTTAAATGCTTAGTAAATGGTGTCTTCTATTGCTGCTATTGCCCCTTTTCTCTCTTCAAAAAATTACATTTGGTTAGGCACACATACTTCAGTTCTCCCTATTTTGAAAAAGGTATAGGACCTATGGGTTTTTTGCTTTTTTTGTTTGTTTTTGTTTTATTTTAGTAAGATGAAGTAAGTATCTACAGATCCATAAACAAGCCAGGACCTGATATAATAATTAGTCAAGAGAGGAGTTGGTTGAAATGAAAGACTGAAAGTATGACTGAAGAGTAATTGTTAATGTAAAAGGTCAAGAGCTAACATAGAGGAAGAAGTTAGAGACCAGGATGGGGAGACCCTGAAAAGGATTTCTTATTTTATACAAGTATAACGGGAAACCTGGGAGTAACATGATTCAATTTATACTTAAAACCTATGCTGACTGCATTGTGGAGAATGAATAGGAAAGGCACAACAATGGAAGCAGGGAACATAGTGAGTTGTTTTAATTTAGATAGGGTCTGATGGCCTAATGTGTGACAGTCAAGGTGGGCATGAGAAGACAACTTTAAGCTATGTTTTAGAAGTGAAACTGTAAGTACAATGATGAATTGGATTCAAGAAGTGAGGACATAGATATGTCAAGGGTAACACTGATTTCTGGCTTGAGTAAAGTCGATAGAGGTGCTATTTATGGAAATGGGAAAGATTACACAGGGAATGCATATTTTGATGAAGAGTGGGTGGAAATCCAGAGTTAAGCTTTGGATACATCACATTTGAGATGCCTGAAGAAATTCAATGAAAAAGTCCAAGTAGACAGTTTAGTATTAGGTCTGGAGTTAAGAAGAAAATGTCTTATCCCTATTATGGCCATACTTAAGATACTGTGTGAAGTATGTCTTTCACTACATTGTAATCTCTTTAAATGCAAGGACTCTTTCTTTCTCAATTTCGGATCTTCCACAGCATTTTATACAAGGCAGAGAATGGTTAAAGTGAAGAATAAAAAAGAGTTGGCATGAATTGAATCTGTGTACAAGGAGTGAGTTAACTGCCTCCAACTTAATCCTAATGAAAGGTTACTGATTTTTACAGATGGTCAAAGTGAACAGCAATTAAATGACTTGCCAAAGTTCACAAAGTAAATGGAAAACTAGTCCTGGTTGACTCCAGGGCACAAATTGATCATATTAAACTCACTGCCTCTAATTAAGCCCTTGTTAAACCTCATCTATTAAAAAAAATGTGGACAGTTATTGCACCAAACTCACTATATGCTAAGATCTTAGCACGTAACAATATACAGAAAAATGCCTATCCTTTTGGAATTTAAAGTCTAGCGTGGGAGGCAGAAAATGAGTAAGTCTATGTAAAAAAAAAATTACATAATAGAGAGAAATGGGGGCTTGGATATCTTTATATGGGGTAGTTAGGACAGACCAAGCTAAGGAAAAAATAATTTAGCGGAGACCCATGGATAAGTACAAGGAAAGAATGTTCTAGTTAGAAAGAAAAAGCCCTGTGGTAGAAAAGATCTGTGCATCTTAGTCATGGTCACCAAACAAGACAGCCATGCATAATGTGACCGCAGAGACGTACAGAGCCAAGCCATGCAGAGCTTTGTAGGTCAAGGCATAAAATTTGGATTTTTTTCTAGGAGCGCTGGCCAGCCATTGAATTATTTCAAGTAAGAAAAAGTCATAATCTGCTTTATATTTAAGAATGGTTTATGAGAGAAAGAATTTAGGGGCAGGAGTAGAATAAAGAAAGCCAGTCAGACAGCTCTTAAATTAATTCAGTTGAGAGATTCTGGTGGCTTTTGGCAGGTTATGGTATGGAGACAGAGGGAAATGCAGTGATTGGAGACATGTTCCAGAAATGACAGCAAGAAGACATGTTGATGGGTGGGTTGTAGGGGGCGAAAATATCAATAGTAAAGAATGACCCCCAGATGTGTGGTTTGAATGTCTGAGTACATGGTGGCACCTTCTAGTAAGATGGGAAAGACTGCAGAAGAAAGTGCTTTGGTAGTGGAAAATAAAGGATTCTAATTAGTAAACGTTTGTTGAATTAAAGAATCTCAATATTGGCTTTGCTTATATGATTAAATACCATATTTCCTTGCATGATCATTTATTTATGAATTGTCTGTGGCTGCCTTCACATCATAATTGCAGAGTTAGGTAGTTGCAACAGAAGCCTGATAGCCCACAAAACTGAAAATATTTCTGTTTTAGCTCATTGTAGAAAGGAGTTTGTCAACTCATGCTATAGAGCATGATTTAAACCTAAAACTAATTTTAGAGTGTGTTTTTCATTTTTTGAATCCAATGGCTGTTCTTCATTCTATATAATCCTTATAAAGCCTTTGACTTCTTATAAAACCATCCTCTCATTATTAAACTATCCCTTTCTAAGTTAATGTGGTGTTGTTGTTCTCTCTCTCTCTCTCTCTCTGCCTGTCTCTCTTTCTGTCTCTCACCATTTATTTTGGTGGTATCTTTCCCTATTTATTTCCCTTTATCCTCTAAAAGTGGGTCTTTCCTAAGTTCTTGCTCTATTGTGTCATTTTCTCAATATCTTCATAGCTTCCCACCTGACTTCTTTTAGGTGTCGGCACAAATGTCAGCTTACATGAAAAGCTTTCTCTATTTAGTATAGCTTCCCAAGCCAAATCCATCATTGTCTTTCATTTATCATTACTGACCTTCTATCTCATTTTGTTTATTTGTTCCTTGTCTGTGTCTCCCCAAATACTATGCCAGTCCATGAGGATGGAGACTTTTTTCACAGGTGTATTTGTTCATTTGTTAAATTCTTAATTGCTAGGATAGCCCAAGGAATACTGTAGGGGCTCAATAGAGGTTTGTTGGATAAATACATGTATAGAATGAATTCTTCTGTCTACAATGATCTCTTTTCCTTTGTTAAGTTATAACAGTTTTCATTGCCACTGCTCTTCTGGGAATGAGTGATTTGCTGTCTTGGGAAGCCCTTGTATTTTTGCCTCCTGTTGTTTTTTGCCTGCATTGGTGCCTAACTCCTCTTAGATTCCTGATTTATTTCTCTAATAAGGTTTGAACAACCTTGAGTATCAAATATGATATCATGAATACACAGACACACACACACACACACACACCACAGTGAGTTAATAATGCTGTATATACACAAGCTCTTTGTTTTGTACTTGGTTTATTATCATCTAATGCTCTTTCCTCTGCAGGAATGCTGTTCTTAGTCTTACTTTCTGAGGAAAGAGGGGGAATTTATTTCCTAAGGCATTTCCCATATTGATTTGTTTTTAATCTTCAGAGAAACATACAAAAATGAATTCTACCACATTTTATTTTGTGTTCATGTTTGGATTGAAATCATGAATTACTTGTGTAAAGAAGATGAACATTTACAAGGATCTGTTTCTAAAAGACCATAAAACTTACTCTTCTTGAAAACTAAAAGGAAGGTGCTATAATCACCTTACATTTCCCCATTATATTATGTGTAGCATAAAAAGAATAAGCATTCAATAGATAACAAAATAAGTGACAAAACTAAGAAGTCTTAAATGATATTTCTCTTTAAAGAATAATTATCATCTTCAAAAATAGCCTGTTCAAGGTTCAGTAGTTCCTTCTTATGTAAGGTTTTGCTTTACCTGGTTTCAATTACCCACTATCAACTGTAATCTGAAAATATTAAATGAAAATATTCCAGAAATAAACAATTTATAAGTTTTAAGTTGTGTGCCATTGAGTAGCATGATGAAATTTCATGCCATCTCACTCTATCCTGCCCCAAATGTGAATCATCCCTTTGATTGGCATGCCCACACTGTCTATTCTATGCCCCCATTAGTCACTTAGTAGCCAGCATGTTTATCAGATTGACTGTCAAGGTATAGCAGTACTTGTGTAAAACCCTTATTTTACTTAATAATGGCTCCAAAGAGTAGTGATACTGGCAATTGGATATGCCAAAGAGAAAGAACAAAGTACTTATTTTAAGGAAAAAAGTTAAAGTTTCCAAGGTAATAAGGAAAGAAAAAAAAAAAAACATATGTTTAGTTTGCTAAGATCTATGATAAGAATGAATCTTTTATCCTTGAAGTTGTGAAGAAGAAAAAAGAAATTTTATATATATAGTTTGGTACTATCCATGGTTTTGGAGATCCACTGAAGATCTTGGAACATATCCTCTGTGGATAAGGGGAGGGCTACCGTATGTCTAAGATGATGTAGGCAAGCTTTTTCTGTAAAGGGATAGATAGTAAATATCTTAGGATTTATGGGCCACATAGTCTCCATTGCAATTACTCAACTCTGCCATTGTAGCATGAAAGTAGACAGGAACAACATTGTCAATCTAAATAACAAAAAGAGAGAGGCTCTCTACAATAAAAATATTTATTCATGAATGGGCATTGCAATGAGAATTAGCATGCCATAGTAAACTATGTGCATATTCAGAATAGGAAAGGAAGATAATGGTTTTTAAAGGAAAAATGAGGAAGATTACATAATTGTTTTTTTCTTTTTTTTTTTTTTTTTGAGACGGAGTCTTGCTCTGTTGCCCAGGCTGGAGTGCAGTGGTGCAATCTCGGCTCACTGCAAGCTCTGCCTCCCAGGTTTACACCATTCTCCTGCCTTAGCCTCCCGAGTAGCTGGGACTACAGGCGCGTGCCACCACACCCAGCTAATTTTTGTATTTTTAATAAAGATGGGGTTTCACTGTGTCAGCCAGGATGGTCTCGATCTCCTGACATCGTGATCCGCCCGCCTCGGCCTCCCAAAGTGCTGGGATTACAGGTGTGAGCCACCATGCCCGGCCCTACATAATCGTTTTGAGATAATTATATTTATATATGAGGATCAATAATGAGAGTGGTGCCAGTCTGAGGTTAGACAGACAGTTGCTGGGTAGCTATTGTTGCAGCAGCATATTTTTGTGTAAAGTCTTAGTGACCTTTGTGTAAGGTTGTGGGTTTTGTAGGCTTTTGTGATTCTTCTTCTTATCAGGCATTTATGCATCAGAATCCTGTCTTCATCGCTTTCCCCCACTCTATTGTCAGGTTTTTGCCTTCCTTCCTTTCTCTGTCTCTTTCTTTCTTTCTTTCTTTCTTTCTTTCTTTCTTTCTTTCTTTCTTTCTTTCTTTCTTTCTTTCTTTCCTTCTCTCTCTTTCTTTCCTTCACGCAGGTGACTCCATTTCGATTTAGACAACTTTCACAATATGTAAGTGAATAGGTGTGGCTGCATGCCAATAAAACTTACAAGAGTTGGGTATATGGCTCTGGATTCACCCTGTATACCAACATTATTAAATGCTGAGAAAGTAGGAGTGGCCTGAGAGGAAGCCGAGGGAGTCCTCAATGGAGAGCACTGAAGTCTAGCAAAGAGCCCTTGAGCAAAAGGCAAAAATGTGCCCCACTACCCAGAGATGCCCAGGCTTTGAAATGACTGATGGACAAAAAAAAAAAAAAAAAAAAAAAAAAAAAAAAAACAAACAAGAATTTGAAGTTGATGAGTCACAAATAATTTACAAGTTTATTTACCATTTCTATGCTAAAAGGAATATGCAAAATAGCTAAGTAAAGTTTCTATATACATATTACATTATTAAAAACTAACAAGTTCAAAAATGAACACATAAAATGCTACATAGTTACTTTCTTGACTGGCCTTTTAGTCTGTGTACTTTTGAGTATCAAAGAATCTTTCTCTTTAAAAATTAAGTATAAACTCCTAAGGTGAAGAATGTTTCCCATCTAAAGCTCTGTGTGAGGATACTTCTGGAACTTGGAGATCTTAACCTATGTAATGGTGATGGTGGAGATCGAGCTGTTAGAACTCTCTCGGGCACTGTGGTCCTTGGAGATGCCCTCCTAAGCTGCTTTGTTTCCAGGGAAGTGATGGCTACATGTTACTCTCCAGCAATCCTATTCTTTTTCTCTGTCCTGAACATTTCAATCCCAGCCTTTTGGGAAAGAGATAATAATAGATGAGGAGAGTAGGGTGCAGAGGACTAGTAGAAATGTCTGTGTAGATAACTGAATGTTTCTTATAGATCACTGTTGCAAAATCCTAAAATACGATTTTTCATAGACATAAAGATTGTGCTAGGCAAATTAAACTGAGCATATATATATTTCCCCTTTTGATAACCACCACTCTTTACTGGTATAGTTATGATCTCCTGATTGATAAGTGAGAATTTTATTTCTCAGATGAAATCATTATGTCTGTCTTTTATACATAGTAGAAAATGTTACGAGGCAAAATAAATTTGCTGTCAATTTGATACATAAAATCACATTGCACCACACAGTGCAAAATCA
This sequence comes from Homo sapiens, assembly GCF_000001405.40. Classification (NCBI taxonomy): domain Eukaryota; kingdom Metazoa; phylum Chordata; class Mammalia; order Primates; family Hominidae; genus Homo; species Homo sapiens. The sequence goes on from NC_000006.12 coordinate 69,041,545, forward strand.
CAGTGTGCCTCCTCATTTGTAAAATGAGCATCTTGATAATAATGATAAAGATGTTGCTAATAAAGATAGCTCGTAGGAATTTTTTTTTTGAGAGTCTCACTCTGTAGCCCAGGCTGGAGAGCAGTAGTACAATCACAGCAGCCTTGACCTCCAGGGCTCAAGGGATCCACCCGCCTCAGCCTCCCTAGTAGGCTGTGTGTGCTGTGTGTGCAAAGCTATGCCTGACAAATATATATGGGGTCTCACTATGTTGCCCAGGCTGGACTTGAACTCCTGGGCTCAAGGGATCCTCCTGCCTTGGCCTCCCAACATGTGAGGATTACAGATGTGAGCCACCATGCCTGGCCATGATGTTTTAAATGTTAACTAAGTGATATAATTTGGCCATGTTCCCACCCAAATCTCATTTTGAACTGTAGTTCTCATAATCCCCATGTGTCCTGGGAGGGGCCAGGTGGAGATAATTGTAGCATGGGAGTGGTTCACCCCATCTTGTTCTCGTGATAATTAATTGGTTCTCATGAGATCTGATGATTTTATAAAGGACTTCCCCATTCACTGGGCATTCATTTCTCTCTCTGCTGCCACGTGAAGAAGGACATGCATGTTTGCTTCCCTTTCTGCCATGATTGTAAGTTTCCTGAAGCTTCCATGGCCCTGCAGAACTGACAGTCAATTAAACCTCTTTTCTTTATAAATTACCCAGTGTCAGGCAGTTCTTTATTGCAACACGAGAACAGCCTAATACACTAAGATATCGTGTGTAAAGCATTTGGCCAAATGCTGTGCTAGGAACAGTGCCTAGCACAGAGGAGGCATTTGGTAAATACTGTTGAATGAAGTAAGAAATGAATGAAGATTACCAGACTCATACAAGCGTTCAATAGATGTTAGCTATCCTTCCCTTCCCTTCCAGATGCCTTTAGTATTTTACAAGGTACTTAGCATTGCTATGTAAATATATAAGTCATGTTTTAAAAAGAAATTGTTAATGCCAAGGGGGTAATGCTACATGTAGATTCAGTTCAGTCCCTGTGTGCTTGGTATGGATACACTAACAAAACAAATAGATGCTTTTCTAACACACTGAGGCAATGCATCGTTCTCTCCTGACCCTATATTTTTCTTACAGAATTTCAAAACAGTACAGGTGACCATCTAGTGATATTGAGTCATGTTTTCCACAAGCAATTCCATTTTGATAACTGGGCAATTTTCTACTATTGATGAGACAAGGTTCCATTTGTAAGTTGTTCCCTCTGTATCAACATGAAAAATGATGCAAACTTCAAATATATTGAAAACATCAGTATAAGGCCACAATAAAAAGGACAGTTTTTAAGACAGCCTTTAAAGTTATTTTGTATCCCCTTCAACATTTGTTTATGGTGATGAGGTGCCATTGCGTGAGTGTTTCCTTTAATCAACTGAGTGCTGTGGAACTTGAGTTACTGCGTTTACCACTTAGTCTGATGCTTAAATGCAATCCTTTTGAAATGCTCTTTGCAGTTTATGGTCTTGGCTGCAGTGGAAATACTGAATTTGACATTCTTGATGCAGTGATTCTCTCACTCTATTGAGGCAAGATATTTTTTTAACCTGGCTGATCTTGTGTTCCCAAATAAGGCAGCCCCTTCCCTCTGGCAGATTCTATAAGAAAGAAAAAAGAAGAGACAAGAAAAGAAGGAAGGAGAAAGAAAGAAGAAAGAGAGAAAGAAAGGGAAAGAAAAGGAAAGGAAGAAAGAGAGAAAGAAAGAAAGAAAGAAAGAAAGAAAGAAAGAAAGAAAGAGAAAGAAAAGAAGATTAAGTAAAAAGGAACCCTTATGTAACTCCCAGGTGGTACATTTCAGTACTAAAGGAGAAGCTCTATTTATTTTTAGTGCAGTTCCTGCCTTTTGTTATATGAATATAATCAACATAAGTTTTGAATATATAATCTCATGCCTAGGATCACTGAAGGACAACCAAAAAATAATGTATGCTACATAGTCAAATATGTTATAATGATGTGGACATACTGTGGGGTAGTTCTCTTGGATTTGATAACTGGAAAACCTGCTCCAGTAATAATAGACAACAGTGACATGGGACCATTCAAGCACCAAACACTGTTCTAGGTGAACTATTCTCAGCTCTTGATAGTAACATTTTTACTCTCCAACAGCTCAGTGAGGTAGATAGATAATATTGTTCTCATGTTACAGAAAAAGACATTGAGACACAGAGAGTTTAGGCAATTTGCTCAGTCGCACAACTTATAAGATGAACATGGAATTTATCTTTCAAGCTGAAACTTTTGAGACTGATAGAGGATGCTATAAATAAGTATACAAAGCAGCAGGAGTAATTAGCCGGGCGTGGTGGCGGGCGCCTGTAGTCCCAGCTACTCCGGAGACTGGGGGAGGAGAATGGCGTGAACCCGGAAGGCGGAGCTTGCAGTGAGGTGAGATGGCGCCAGTGCATTCCAGCCTGGGCGACAGAGCGAGACTCCGTCTCAAAAAAACAAAAACAAAAACAAAAACAAAGCAGCAGGAGTAAACCAGAACAGATCTGTAAAATCTAGGATAAATGCTTACCCTAAAAAATCAGGGATTTGAATATTGGATCCAGATCATAAGTCTGTGTGAGCTACTCTAGTGACCACTGTTCTTATATTTTGGTCTTTGTCCAATTTGCTCATCCCTACAGCCTTCATCCCTCCACCCTTACATTCTCGCTCCTAGACTTTTTCTTTCACATGCCTTCCATTCTTCTCTGTAATGCAACTGATGCATCAAATTACCTCCAGTTTGTATGTGAACCACTCACAACCAGGATGAATAAGACAGACTCCTCATCCTCCAGGACCTCAATACAGCCAAAGGGCCAAAATTTCATTATTTCCCTCAGGGAAAAGGTTAGAATTATTATCCTGCTTTGATGTATCAAAGAAGTGCTCATTGGTTACCAAGAAAAACAGCTCATGTGCTTTTAAACCTATCTGCAAAAATTCCCTATGCTTTCTGATGAACAAAAATCTATACTGAACCTGAATCGTTTGAAAGTTTGGCCAATAAAAGACATGATGCTCTTAAAGGAATTTTATGCTGCCTATCCAAATTCAAAATGAAAGTATTAAAATTGCAAAATGGAAGTGCAGCTGGTTTTTCTCTAAGGTTTATCAGTGATGAGTCACCTATTTTTATTGCATAAGAAATCAAATCAAGTGTTGTAATGAAAACACGATACAGTGAATTTAGGATAATTCTTGTAGCACTCAAGATGTGCGTATTTGTTCAGGGACACTGAGTCCTTTGAGATTTATTTTAAGTACTTTAATATTCTGTAAGAAAGGCTTTTTTTCAATGTTTGAAGAAAGCTGCCCCATCTTCTAAACACCCACAATGACTGGTTTTAATTCAGGAATTGTTACAGAAGCAGGATATATAGATTATGCACTTATGCTTTTTATTTATGTCCCTTTATCAGCATGAGGCACATATTTACTTACATGTAGTTTAAGGCATTACGTTTTTAAATCTTACCTCTTTTGTATTCACTTAACATATGAGCTTCCTATTTCCCTAAAGATGTTAACAGCATCAAAATTTTACCTGAGTGTTTTGACAGTTAAACTCTGAAGAAGGAAAGGGATTGAAGGTCGGATTGTTCTAGTGTCTTGTACAAGAACTGGAAAAAGAAGTAAAAGTCATCTATAAATTACCTTTGCTACATGGAAATAGGTTTTCTCATCTATTACTAAGGGATCATAAAGAACCACATTGCTATTTTAGACATCTGCCTATCTAGCGTAGAGGTAAATATGTATAACTTTAAATTTCATATTTGTAAAAACATGTATATTGATAATTTCACAGATATAATTTGAATCTCATCAGTGTATGAAAGTATATACTTTTCATAATGGATTTATTGAAAGATTCATACTACTTTAAGAACTATTTTGCTAAGAGAGTAGATTTTAAGTGTTCTCACCACACAAAAAATGAAAAGTATGTGAGGTAGTGCTTATGCTATTAGCTCAAATTAGCTATACCACAATGTATACATATTTTAAAACAACATGCTTTACATGATAATTATACACTATTTTGATTTTCTAATTAAAAATAAAATGAAATAAAATACCTTAAGAAACAGACATATTTCAGGATCTTAGTTACCATCCATGCAGACATCTCAAACCACTTAGAATGTGTACATACTTATAATAGTAAAAACCTCCATTACATTCCTACTGTAGTTAATAAATACGTGTTTATTTTTGTGCACTTCTCACACTGAAAACTATGCAATTTAAGGGACTTATTGCATAAATTAGTGACCCTAATTGATTTTTCCATTCCTTTAATCTAGACTATGTTCAAAAGTACAGTCTAATTTATATAATCATAATTTAACAGCTAACGTACCTCTAATTGAAGAATGAGTGTATTTCATAAAGTAAGACCCATGCATGTACAACTATATCAATTTATGGATTTATGAATATGGTATTAGACGAGCATTTATTATGAGTAAAGTGATGTATGGTTCATACAGAATATCATCCACTGGTTATGCCTTTCTGTTTGTTTTTTGTTTTCCATCTAATGTGTATAGAGACAGAGAAATTATTAGACCTCAGGGTCGAATAATGTATCTTTTATTCTCTTTTATAATAGAAACTAATTGTATGGCAGTCAGAAAATCTTTATTTCTTTTCAGCAGTTTTTGGAGCAAAGAAGTGAAATAACTTTCCTCTAAACCCCAAGACATCAAAAGTTAGAGTTAAGGCATATAACAGTAGATACACGTGATTCTACACATTGAATAATGCTTAGAGGACTCAAGAAAGAATGTCCTACTAACTTGCTGACCTGCTCATCTATATACAGCAGGGATTTGGACCCTGCAGGAGAGATGAACTGGATTATTTATGGACAGCAAAAAGTATATTGTTTTAAAATTTAAAGAAACTATGTTAGAGCTGGTATCCCGAAACAGCATTTAACATCTATAATTTATTTATGTGTTACCCAGTATCTTCTTTCTTTTAACATTACTTACAAAGTACTTTTTAAAGCTTAGTATGTCATATTAGAGGATAAATGAAATACCATCCTATGCTGATAATGGAATGACTAATCACCTGAAAGAACTTTAATAAAGTACAATTTCACTAATGTGATATACTAATACATAACCAATTTAATTTGAAACTAAGTAGTGCAGTAATATATTTATACAACTAATATTGTTAAATTCTTAATTTTCATCCTCCTGATTTAAATTACAAATTTTTAAATGAAATTCACTTATGAGGAGTGTAATGAATTATTTATTTATTTTGAGACGCAGTCTTGCTCTGTTGCCCAGGCTGGAGTGCACTGGCCTGATCTCAGCTCACTGCAAGCTCCACCTCCCGGGTTCACACCATTCTTCTGCCTCAGCCTCCCGAGTAGCTGGGACTACAGATGCCCACCACCACGCCCGGCTAAAATTTTTTGTATTTTTAGTAGAGATGGGGTTTCACCATGTTAGCCAGGATGGTCTCGATCTCCTGACCTCGTGATCCACCCACCTCAGCCTCCCAAAGTGCTGGGATTACAGGCGTGAGCCACCGCACCCAGCCAATGAATTTTTACTTTAGCTTTTCAATTGCAATAGCTTTTACAATTGTCTGCATCATGTTTCCATATAAGTTCTCCAAGGGACACTTGAAAATATGATATAGAACAAGTGTGGACCTATCCAAAAGTTTTACAAATTACACTTCATTATTGAAAATGCTTATAATCTAGACATGCTGGAGTATTTATCATCATAGTTTTATTACACATTATAAATTTATATGTAATATAAATTTGTATATAACTATTAAATATAATAAAATATATTAAAGTATTACTAAACTTATCATTCATACATTTTCTGATATGTATTATAATATTTATTGGTATTAAGGACACAATTCTCTGTTTATATAATATATATTTATACACACACATTTTTACTTTCAATTTTAGAGAGAAGTTTTAAGAATTATTATTAATCTATTTGATCACTATTTCTACATATTATTTTGGTTTTGCAACTCTGACATTATTGGTACCTTTATTATATAGATTCTGACAGTTCTATCTCCCAAAGTAATATGGCTTTGTTCTCCATTTCTTCAGAGTACCCTATCTAATCCATGAAAAGTTTGTTCCAAAGACAATGTTCAAATGAAAATGCAGAAAATTTCTTCTTAAGACAAAATTCAGGTTTAAATGCAAATTTCAATCCATTAGTTCAAGTCTGTTAATCAGAATGTTTTTAAAAAATACAGTATGAGTTTCTAACAATTAAAATGGAGACCAACCATGAACAATCAATATAGCAGTGCCTGTTAATACTCTCAGAATATCCACTCCATTATTGACCACCATTGTATGATACCCACTGAAAGCAACAAAAACTAAGACTGATAAGTAAAATTCAGCAACTTTAATGAGAAATTTTGTCTAATAAGACATAAGTTATTTTGTTGCTCTGATAAATACAATTTTGACTTGAAATTTTATTTTGAATATACTGCAAGATTTACCTTGATCAACACTGATTACACTAAAATGTAAAGCAAGTTTAATTGAAATTATTATTTCTTTTTTAATAGTGGCTAGTATTCAGAAGCTTCCTGCAGCCTCTGTTCTAACAGACATCAACTTTCCAATGAAAGGACGGAAGGGAATGGTTGACTGGGCAAGAAACTCAGAAGATAGGGTAGTAATTCCAAAAAGCATTTTCACTCCGGTGTCATCAAAAGGTAAATATCTGAAATAATATGAGCTTGAACAAGACATTTTTGATAAGGTCATTTAATTAGAAATTAGGTATAAATCTTCATACATTAAACAGTTTAGAAATAGTCTGTAATCATTATTTTAAACTAATTTTCTAAATATGGACAACTTATTCTCGGTTTCAGAGTCTCTGAAAATTTACTGAAGAAAACAGTCTATTACAGTATGAAAAATATACAAGTGCAAATTATCGACCTGAGTTTGACATGGTCAAGTTTCAATATTCATGGTTTTATACCCGTATAAAGCATGTGGACTAATATTTTACCTTTAGCTATTGAAATGTGTTGTATTTTCCATGCAATGTCATTTTTATTTCTGCCTCATTAAAATTTGCTTCGGTTTGAAGATATTATTTTGGCATACAAAAACAAATTTAATACCTGGATGATAAAATAATCAGTACAACAAGCCCCCACGACACAAGTTTACCTGTGTAACAAACCGGCACATGTACTCCTGAACTTAAAGTTTAAAAGAAAACAAATTTGAGAAAAAATTAAGTTTTTAGAACATTTTTAATAGCCTTTAAAATTAATGGCTCCTTTCAAAAGTGACATCGTACTCACTTTTGCAGATGTCGACCTTAAAAGGTAAAAATCCAAAAGAGAATTGGCTCTCTTTTCTGATATCGTTGGGAAATTAAACTCTTAAATGGAGACTAAGGCAGCTTCTTGTCTCAACCTGGTAAAGGAAGTTTCCTTCGTGATGCAAAACTATAGAAAACACATCTTTGAGAGCTACCATTAATGTGCATGGTTAGGAATGCATTTCTTTTTACCAGGCTTTATCTTTGCCTAAGGAAGTACTGGAATTATCTTGTAATTAGCAGATTAAAGTTTTATAAGACATAGTATTTTCTTGCTGTTTGCTAATACTTCAAAATTTATTCTTTCTAGAATTAGATGAATCATCTGTATTTGTTCTTGGCGCAGTCCTATACAAAAACTTAGATCTAATTTTGCCCACTTTGAGGTAAGCTACAAAGTAATAAACTGTTGTAATTTTGTAAATTATTCCAAAATGTGATTATAGCTCATTCTATAAAAATAGTCAAACAAGCTGTGGTAATATGAAGGGATTTTTCTTAAATGAAATAGAAAATACAAATTTAATGAACAGGCTATTAGCAATTATGCATTTCAAAACAACTAGAAAAGATAATTTTGGTGTCTGACTGTAGCCCTGCAAATTCTTTTGTAACTGATAATGCCTTGCCTTGATACTGAAAGAAAAAAGAAAAGAAAAGAAAAATCACAAGTGTCTATAATAGAATGGGTCATTGTAAAATTGATCTGTCTTCTCCCTTTAGTTGTACTTAATGGTACTGTTCATCAACATGACGTGAAATTAAAGGAGTGTCATGATGACTGGGAAAACATGGTATTGTTTATTTGCACAAGATCTTAGTTTGCTTTGAAATAAATTTTCAATTACAGTTACATTTTTTTAAAAAATGCTGCTGTTTATTTAGAGGACTATTTCTGGAAGAAATCTATTAATTTCTTTCCTCCCAGATATTAAAAGCAATTACAAATAGTAATTCTACCAAAACTAACTTATTTGCTTTACTGTCTTATCTACTATACCAAATCTCACAGAAAACATCATTCACATCTACTTGGATTGTGATGTTATCACTCATAGTGACCTGTTTCTCCACATCACCTCGTTTTGGAAGATAGAGATAAAGTTGTTTTAGTTAAATACGATCACAGTTGGACTTCTTTGTTATACCCTCATAAATAAAGCTTTACATTTTTGGAGAGGAAAGAATATAAATGATGTGTGCAGTTATACTGCGGACAAAACAAATAGTCTAATAAATAAAAACAATTAGAGTTCAGTGCAGATGAAAAAAAAATCACCCAAGGAAGCAGCAGTGATTAGGCTTGAATCTTTAGAGAAAATCTTTCTACGTGAAGCACGTTATTAATATAGGTGGAGAGTCATCCAGAGCCCCTGTGGTTGTCATGCAGGGTCTCCTTCAACCATAGAGACAGCCATGGGAAGCTGAAATTTATTTACCTCCCTTCTCCTCTGAATAGAATTTAGACTTCCTCAATTTGGATCTATTTGTGTTTGTGTTTTGCTAAGAAAAAAGTTTGAAAACAAAAAAGTCTACTCTCAGCTTTTCCAGTGGTTTTATTAAAACTCATTGGTATTTACAGTTACTCACAGATAAAATTTAGTCATAGTTACACTGCCTATATCTTTGTGTTTGATGTTGAGGAGAGGTATGCTAAAGTTAAAAATGTTCAGATAATCAAAGTTAGTCACTTATTTCAACAGGGAATTCGTTTATATAAAGCTTATATTTTAAGAACTCTAGACACTAACTTAAAATCAGGTGACTTGTGTTTTCATTTCAATTAAACATGTTGAGAATTTTATAAACTTGTCCAGTCACTCAGTAATTGTGTGCCTTCAGTTCAACTTTAAAATAGAAATGTATTTATGTGCTACATTCTCCCTATTTGCTCTTGAGATACATAGTGAATACAAATGAAATATTCAACATAAATTTTTTAGATTAGTTTCCCTCCTAGATGTCCAGCAATGTTGCATTATGATAATCTTGTTCCATATAATCTCATAGCACTCACTCACCTACACAAATGAAGTCAGGTTATTCCAAGTTTTATAAATGTATGCAGTCAATATAATTGGAAATTTCCTCAGGAAATTTCCCAAGGGATCCCAGCCTTTTTTGTAAAATGAAAAAGAAACATTTAATTAGTGTTTCAACTTAAAAAAAATTTCATGACAGAGGCAGTTTGTCTCTTACAGCTTCTGGATAGATTAATGGATACATTATGGATGATTTAATGGATATAGTAGAGACTAGTCTTATGGACTGGCTCCCCTGATGCCACGTGTAACATAAAGGGATTCAGATAGACCACTGGGCAAGTCACTGACTTTTTTTAATAAGTAAAATGTGGTAATTGAACTTAAAATTTTTTTCACCTTCAGAAATTATATTTTCATTGCAGAAAGTTTCTACATATTCTTTAGATTGAAGTCCTTAATAACCTCTGTATAAGAATTACAAATTTGTTTACCTGTACATTCTTTGTATCCATAAAGTAATTTAGTAAATGTCTATAGGACAACTAAATAGTGCTTAGATCATTGACCAGATATAAGGACAATAGAATGCTCAGGATGAAATATTTGTTAAGTACTCTTAGAAAGGTGAAGTACTAGTGTTTACTTCTCATTTTCTTTTATCTCTTAAAGTAACATAATGTGACCACTAAGTACCCTCGAGCTTGTTTTTCTCCTTTTCAAAACATTCTTCCAGAAAGTCTAATGAGTAACTGCACCAATTATAGGTCTGCTAAATGAAAATATACTTCTTAATGAACAAGGGTGATTCTTTTTTCTACAGTCACTCAGCAAATATTTACTGAGCAGCGTCCCTGCTAACAGTACTGTATTAATTCTTTTAAACTTCCCCTGCTATCGCAACTCTCAGAACAGTTCTTAATAAATGGTCAAGGATTTTTTTCTGTAATAATTAATTTTCTTTTTTTTTGAGACGGAGTCTCGCTCTGTTGCCCAGGCTGGAGTGCAGTGGCGCGATCTCCGCTCACTGCAAGATCTCCCGGGTTCACACCATTCTCCTGCCTCAGCCTCCTGAATAGCTGGGACTTCAGGCGCCCACCACCACGCCGGGCTAATTTTGTATTTTTAGTAGGGATGGGGTTTCACCATGTTAGCCAGGATGGCCTTGATTTTCTGACCTCGTGATCTGCCCGCCTCGGCCTCCCAAAGTGCTGAGATTGCAGGCATGAGCCACCGCAGTAATAATTAATTTTTCTATCTGATAAAATATCGTATATAAGACATCTTTAAAAATAAGGCACACAGAAGTTTAATGTTTGTACTATGAAAATATTTTAGGACCAGAGGATTAAAAGATGTGTATTTTGTAATTTTACTATATGTTTGTGTGAATTGAACTCAATAGGAAAGATCTTCTTATTCAACATAAAAAGTACAAATTCATTCTATGTGTTCAGTTATTTACAAAGTTTTATAAAATATATTCCTTGTTGAGGATTTTACTAATTATCTGTTGAAATATGTGAAGCCACGTTTGTTATACACAGAAATAATAAGAGTAGTTTTGCTGTTAGGTTTCCAGAAATGGTATATTTTGGTATAATAATTTTCATAATTTTTCTCATAGAGACTATGAAGGAGGACTTGCTGTAATGCTTTGAATAAATATAGTTTAGAAATTGTCCTTCATACAAAGACAAAAATAATTTTGCATGTTGACTCTCTCTTTTATTGAGATATTTCTCTTCTTCTCTTAGCCCTAATATACATTCAACTGTCCCTTGAGCTGCAATTTTTATTTTACTATTCAATTGTCTTCCCTTTTAAAGTTAAGTAGGTTCAGATTGTTACTTCAACTGAAGGAAATATGCTTCAGATGAAGTCCATACTAAATATGTGTTATTCTCAGCCTCTCAACTTCCTTCTTCAGAATAATTTCTTATAGATAGAAAATATGGATGGGCCAGGCATGGTGGCTCACGCCTGTAATCCCAGCACTTTGGGAGGCCGAGGCGGGTGGATGACTTGAGGTCATGCATTCAAGACCAGCCTGGCCAACATGGTGAAACCCCGTCTTTACTAAAAATACAAAAATTAGCCGTGCATGGTGGTGTGTGCCTGTAGTCCCAGATACTTGGGAGGCTTAGGTGGTAGAATCACTCGAATCTCAGAGGTGGAGGTTGCAGTGAGCAGAGATCCCACCATTGCCCTCCAGCACTGGGTGACAGAGCAAGATTCCATAAAAAAAAATGTATAGAACCATAGGATATTAATGCTGTAAGGTCTTTTAGGGTTTAGTGTGAGCTAGAACTCTCATTTTATAGATAAGAGAACTGAGATCCTTATCGCTTAGGTGACCTGCCTAAGATTATATGTCCATTAGGTAACTGAGTTATAATACAACTTATCTTGTTTGCTAAAACCAGGACTCTTCTACTATATCTCATTCCCTCTATTCTGTTACTATTTATTATTTTAAGCAATACAAACCATAGACTTCCATGATAGCACATGAGTATATCTGTATCCATTGCAGAAAATCTTGTAAGAGCCAGAGTGGGTGGCTATGTGTGGGCAGTTTCAGGGAGCACTGGGGCTGGCCTGGTGGCCCCAGCCCAGGCTGTCAATACCAAGGCTTGAGTTTGTCACACCTCCCATTCCCCCTTGACCACTTATGTGCATGTCCAGCCCAGTTCAGAGGGTCCTTTGAGAGAGTGAGATATTGACACACAGACCACATTCACATTAAGGAATTAGAAAACATCCATATCTTGGCAAGCTCGTAAACTGCTCTGAGAATTTTAACTTACTTTTATAGCATTTTTGGAGGCCAATTTGGCAATACCAAGAGCCTTAAAAGTGCTTTGTCATTGATATAGCAATTCTACTTCTAAGAATTTATTTTAAGGAAATAATCTCTAAGGAAATAGAAAAGTATATCCAAGTATACCCTCAAGCCAAGAAATCAATAAATGGTTATAAACAATCATTTGTCTGATTCATTTAATAAGTTCAGCTTCCAATTTTGTGGGAAAGCCATGAAAGTTCTGAGTATGTGAGCAGTATGTCGTTATCCTGTTAAGACATGAAAAATGTAGTCCCTTAAAAAATGCATCTTATGTAATGATTAACATTAAAGACATTATAAAAGAACTAATAAAATTATATGTAAATTCCACTATAGTGGAATAAAGGAAAATACAGATGAATGAAAACTAAAGTGTCTTCATAAACCAAAAGTTATTACAAAATTATTTTTAAAGAAAGGAACAAATTTCAATAATGCAAAAATCAAATGAATTTCTTGTCAAGTACACTAACCTAATTAAGATAAATGAGGCTGAAATTTTTATATATTCAGGAAATTGAACTCATTTGAATTCCTAATGCTATAGAAATTAAAAATGAATAGAAAAATAATATTGGAAATAATAGAAAATTGAAGACATAATCACTTTTACACAAATGCACGCTGAAAGCAATCAACCTGAAGCAGTCAGCTCTCTCCAGAGCTCATGTCCTTAGGTTTAGGACCTAAACTTTGAATCTTCCTTTTTAATTCTCACTTTGCAATGGAATATTCTAGTTTTGTGACGTTCTGTACCTTTTTAGAATGTCTTCTCATGAAAACATTAGAAATTTAAATTATCTATGGAAATAACAAATTGGCGTAGCTTATAGTATAAAATATTGTGGTGTTACTTAGTGCGTTATTTTTTAAAATCTCGGTTTAGTTTGGTCAGATATTTTAAAAGTGAATGTAAATCTCTGATCACTTGGCATTTTTAAAATTCTAGATTCTACATATCTTAGCAACCTACAGTGAAATTCTAACTCCTTTCAAGCTTTAAGTAAACCCAATCCTACTTTGTAGCAGCTGTCAACTGATTTTAGTTTTAAAAACAAAGATATTCAGCTTTAAAATTTTGATAAAGTACCCAAATTCCCATACTATATGAAATCATCTGTTTTATTTTGGTCTTATTTAAATTGGTCTATTCACTTAAAACATTTATGAAAGTTTCATTTTTGAAGCTACATGAACTATAAATCTAAAAATGGAAAAGGACTATAGTAACTTTACTAACTTCCATTAAACCCATAACATCTTTTTGTTGTATCTTATCTGGCAATACTGTATGTGTGCTATTAGTTCTGCCATCTCCTCCATTGGTGATTTTTCTATAACTGCATTACATTTTTTATTGTGTTAAAAAAACATAAAATTTACCATAATAACTATTTTTAGTGTACAGTACAATGTTAACTATATGCACTTGTGTAACATCTCTAGAAACTTTTCATCTTGCAAAATTAAGACTATACACATTAAAGCACAACTCCCCTTTTCCCACTCCCTCTGACCCTTAGCAACTATCATTCTATTTTCTGATTCTGAGTGTGACTGCTTTAAATACCTCATGTAAGTGGAATCATGCAGTATTCATCTTTTTGTGATTGATTTATTTCAATTAGCACAATATCCTTTGGGTTCATTTGTCTTGTAGCATATGATAAGTTTTTTTTCTTTTTATACGGCTGAAGAATATTTCATTGTTTATGTATATACCACATTTTCTTCATCCATTCTTCCATTGATGGACAATCAGCTTGCTTCCACCTCTTGGCAATTGTCAATTACACATGATGAACATGGGTGTTCAAATATTTCTTTGAGATCTTTCTTTCAATTCTTTTGGACATATACTCAGAAGAGAGATCATTGGATTATTTTTTGTTTTTTCAGAAACTGCCTACCGTATTCCAAAGCAGCTGCACCATTTCACATTCCCACCAACATTGCATCAGGGTTCCAATTTTCCCACATCCTTGTCAACATTTGTTATGTTGTTTTTTTGTTTTTGTTTTTTTTTGTTTTGCTTTGTTTTGTTTTGTTTTGTTTTGTGCACACAGTCTCGCTCTGTTGCACAGGCTAGAGTGCAGTGGTACAGATCTCAGCTCACTGCAACCTCTACCTCTCCAGTTCAAGCAATTCTCCTACCTCAGCCTCCCAAGTAGCAGAGATTACAGATGTGTACTATCACGCCTGGCTAATTTTTGTATTTTTAATAGAGATGAGATTTCCCCATGTTGGCCAGGCTGGTCTCAAACTCCTGGCCTCATGAGATCGCCACCCTCGGCCTCTCAAAGTGCTGAGATTACAGACATGAGCCACCCCGCCCAGCCTGTCTTTTGTTTTTTAATAATGGTTATCCTAGTGGGTGTGAGGTGATAACCCATTGTAGTTTTGATTTGCATTTCTCTTATGATTAGTGATGTAGAGCATCTTTTTATATCCTTGTTGTCCATTTGCGTACCTTCTTTGGAAAAAATGTCTATTCAAGTCTTTTGCCCATATTTTAATTTGATAATTTGGTTTGGGTTTTTGTTGTCAAGTTTAGGAGTTATTTATATATTCTGGATGTTAACCTCTTATCAGATACATAGTTTGCAAATATTTTCTCCCTTTTCATAGGTGGCCTTTTCATTCTACTCACTGTTTTCTTTCCTGCACAAAAGTTACTTTGTTTTGTTTTTTAATTTGATGAAGTCCTATTTGCTCATTTTAGCTTTTCTTCCCTGTACTTTTGGTGTCATCTCCAAGTTCAATGATTTGAATGTATTTCTCTATGTTTTCTTTTAAAAGTTTTATAGTTTCTAGTCTTATGTTTACATCTTAATCCATTTTATGTTGTTTTTTATATGGTGTAGGCACATGGATATCCAGTTTTTCCAACACTGTTTGTTGAAGAGATTATCCTTTTCTCATTGTGTAGCCTTAGCACCCTTGTCGAGGATCATTTGACCATATACATGAGGATTTATTTCTGTGTACTCTATTCTGTTCTGTTGGTCTATATGTCTGTCTTGACACCAGTACCATACTTTAAAAATAATCATTACTGTAGCTTTGTAATATAGCTTGAAAATAGAGAATACCTTTCTTTCTTAAGACTGCTCCAGCTGTCAAGAATTCTTTGAGATTTTATGTGAATTTTATATTTTTTTCCATTTCTGCAAAAATACCATTTGGATAGATTGCTTTGGGTAATATGGACATTTTAACCATATTAAGTCATCTAATTCATGGACACAGGATTTCCTTCCATTTATCTGTCTCTTCCTTCATTTTTTTCAGAAATGTTTTATAGTTTTCAATGTATAACTCTTTCCTCCTTAAGTTTACTCATATTTTATTTATTTTGATGCTTTTTAAATGGGATTCTTTTATTAATTTCCTTTTAGATTGTTCATTGATAATGTATGGAAACAATTGATTTTTGTGCGTTAATTTTCTTGCATTCTGCAACTTCACTGAATTTGTTCTTTAATTATAACAAGATTTTTAATGTGTGTCTGTGTGTAATCTTTAGGGTTTACTACATATAAAGTCATGTCATCTATGAACAGAGGTAATTTTACCTCTTCCTTTCCCATTTGGATGCCTTTTATTTCTTTTTCTTACCTAATTGCTGTTTGTAGGACTTCTAGTACTATGTTGAATAAAACTGGCAAGAGAGGGCATTTTTGTCTTATTTCTGATCTTAGGGGAAAAACTTTCAGGGTTTTTTTGTTTTGTTTTGTTTTGTTTGTTTTACCATAAAGTGTGATATTAGATGTGGGTTTTGCATATAAGACCTTTGCTATGTTGAGATAATTTCTTCATATTCCTGGTTCATTAAGCGATTTTATCATGAAAGGGTGTCGAATTTTGTCACATGCTTTTTAAAAATCAATTGAGACAGTCATGCAGTTTTTGATCTTCATTCTGTAAATGTGATGTATTACACTGATTGATTCTCATTTGTGGAAACATCTTTGCATTTCAGAAATAAATCTCTCTTGGTCATGATATATAAACTTTTTAACATGCTGCTGAATTTGGTTTGCTAGCATTTTGTTGAGGATTTTTGCATCAATATTTATTAAGGATATTTGTCTGTAGTTTTCCTTTTTTTTATATATAGTATCTTTGTCTGATTTCAGTATCCAGGTAATACTGGCCTCCTATAATGGGTTTAAAAGTGCTCTCTGCTTTAATTTTTTGGAAGACTTTGAGAATGAGTTGTGTTTATTCTTCTTTAAATGTATCATAGAATTCTCTAGTGAAGACTTCTGGTCCTCTAGACTTTTGTTGAGAGGTTTTTGATTATTGATTCAATCGCTTTACTAGTTATGGGTCTATTCAGAAATAAAATTTCTGCATGCTTCAGTCTTGGTGTGTTATATTTTTTCTTAAAATCTGTCTATTTCTTTTAGGTTATCTTGTATGTTGACATATAATTAATTGTTCATAGCTGTCTCTTATGATACTATTTACTTCAGTGCCATCAGTTGTGATGTCTCCTCCTTTTTTTCTGGTTTTTGTTATTTGAGTCTTCTCTCTTTCTTTTCACTTACTCTTTTTAAAAAGGGTTTGTCAATTTTGTATATTTTTTCTCCAAAAATCAACTCTTAGTTTTGTTGATTTTTACATGGGTTTGCTATTTTCTATTCTGTATATTTCAGCTCTAATCTTTATTATTATCTTTCTTCATTAACTTTGGGTTTAGTTTATGCCTCTTTTTCAAGTTCTCTGAAGTATAAAGTCAGGTTTTGATTTGAGATCTTTCTTCTTTTTTAATGTAGGTGTTTACTGCTATAAACTTCCCTCTTAGTACCTTTTTGCTGCCTCACATATGTTATGTGGTATGTTGTATTTTCATTTTCACTTGTCTCATGATATTTTCCAATATTTCTTGTGATTTCTTCTTTGATCCGCTGGTTGTTCAAAAGTGTGCTGTTTGATTTCTACATATTTCTCAATTTTTCAGTGTTTTTCTTAGTATTGAGTTCTAGTTTTATTCCATTGTAGTCGGAAAAGATACTTGGTAAGATTTCACTCTTCTTCAATTTGTTAAGGTTTGTTTTGTGGCTTAACATGTGGTCTATCCTGGAAAATTTTCTGTCTGCCCTTGAGAAGAATGTGTATTCTGCTGTTGTTGTATGGAGTGTTCTGCATGTGCCTGTTAGGTCCAATTCATCTATAATGTTATTCATGTCATCTGTTTTCTTATTAATTTTCTGTCTAGGTAATCTATCTAGTTAATCTGTCTAGTTATTAAAAATGGGATATTAAAATATCCCATTATATTGTTACTATTTATTTCTTTCCTCAATTATTTCAATGTTTGCTTCACATGTTTGGGTGCTATGACATTAGGTGCACATATATTTATAATTGTTATACCTCCCCAGAGAATCAACCATTTTATCATTACATTGTGTCTTTTTTTGTCTCTTGAAACAGTTTTTGACTTGAAGTCTATTTTGTTTGATATAAGTGTAGCCAACCTCATTCTCTTTTGGTTATCTTTTACATAGGATGTTTTATCCATACTTTTACTTTCAGTCTATGGATGCCCTTATATACAAAGTGAGTCTGTTGTAGACAACTGAATTGTATTTTTAATCACTTTTTATACTCTCTTTAAGATATGGTTCATGTGCCTTTAACTTCTTAAGACTCTGCAAAAAAATGTGAAGATTAAGTTGGGTTACCTTTGAATGATTAATTCTATATATTTTGAAATGTTTTATATATCAACGAGCATAAATCTCAAGGACAGAAAATAATTTTATTATTTGAGTCATGAAATCCATTTGGCTGTCAGATCTGCTTTTCTAGCAGTGAATGCAAATGTGCAGCCAGCCAGGGAGCATTAGCAGATCACAAAGCCTGACATGGCATATCAGAAGCCAGCTATTCACTTGTGCAAATTAGAATAAATTGATGGAATAAATTAAAGACAATTTTGTACACTATACACTTTTTGAAAAGGAAGCCATTGCATAATGTAAATTTGCTTATTTATTTTCCTTTATTAGGCATTTAATACCATGATATTGGCATTACATTTTAAATCAACTTGTTAAAATTTTGACATTTTTGTTTAGTATTTGCTTATTAAACAAAACACTCAAACATGTTTTAAGTATTAAAATGTTCCAAAGAATAATACGAATGAGGACATATAAATGATAGATAAAAATCTTGCTCTCATTGAGCTTATTATCATATGGAAAAAGACATGCGTAGAATTGATGGATGCTTTCGTAGAGGTAGGTGCACGTTACTGTATTGGGGCACAAGGTGTCAGGGATTCACATGAATGGTATTAGCACACTGATATGCATGAATAAATTGACACATATCTCTTCTCAAATATATTCTAAATATATTAAAACATACACACATTTTCTTTCTCTCTCTCTCTTTCTCTGTCTCTCTCTCTCTTTCTCTCTCTCTCTCTCTCTCTCTCTCTCTCCTCCTCTGTCTCTCCTTCTCTCTCAGCAAAAGCCATAGGGTTGATTCTGTCCTCTAGGGAACTTCTCCACCAGGCCAGATGAGCAGCTGATGAACCTAACACAGTGTAATATACCCTGCAGAAGGCAACTTATTGTAGCTACTTTGCTCCTTACAGACCAGCCATTCAGGGCCAAAGTCTCCACATTCCCAAACACACAGGGAGCTTCATAAATATCTTGACAAAATTGCAATCTTCTTTATAGGATACCCACATCTGTGTTTGTTTTCCAGTAATGTATCCATTCATGGAACTTAAACATAATAGAGATACCTTTCTAATATAATAATTTAATAATAATTAAAATTGGTAATCATTGGGTTTTATTAAAAGCCGGTAACTAGGATTATAAAGAGAACCAGAATAAAGAGACAAATGGAATTTGAGTGAAGCATCAATATTTTTGTTTTGCAAAACCAAACCAGAACTTAAACATATTCAGGCTAATCCAAAAAAGGAACTTACATCTGTCTGTTCAGGACTGATTCTTCTCTGGGAGAAATGTTCATAATTTCTCTGGTAATGACAGGTGGATATTTCCCCTAACTCTAAGCTGTATACACCATTCTCTGGGAGGCCTGCCAGCTGTGCTAATATGATCAACCACCCAGGATCACCTCTCAACTTTGTCAATTTCTCTATTCTCACTTGGTTCCCTGATCACTTTTACTCACAGAAAAACATGGAAGAATAATTTGGCAAAAGAAGCTTGACATTTAGAGCTTAGTTTTCTGTCCTTCAAAATGTACTGTACCTTCAATTGACTCATTTATCATTTAATGAAAAAAAAAAAAGACTGTTAACCAGCTCTCTCTGTCTGCAACAATCTTCCTCTTAACAAAAACAAAATAGACTTATGCTTTGTTGTTTTTAACTCTTTACTCTTAGGCTGAATAGCTTCCTGAGTGTTTAAAAAAGTGTCATTTGACATTACTGCATACATGAGAAATGCACTTAAAAATGTTAACCCATGCGAAACAGGTGTATAGTTCCTCTGCTACTAGATATAGTAAATTCCTCCAACCACGGAATAACTCCGCATTTTTTTCTGATGAAATCTTGTGCCAAAAACCACCTCATTAGAGAAAAACAAATCTCAAAAAAAGCTAGGTTCAGCATGGTTCCACCGTATCAGAACTATATGACTTAAATGGTACAATCACTTTAGAAAACAATATGGGAGTAACATAAAATTAAGTATGCCTTTACAGCATAATCAAGGAATTCCACTCTCAGATATTCACCTTAGACATATGAAAATATATATCCATACATAAAATGTGTATGGTAATTATTTATAATAGCCAAATATCATTAGCTATTATTTCTAAAGGCTAAAAATCAGAAATAACCTAAAGGTTTTAACCTAATTGATAAATACATCAATAAATTGTGCTGTATTTGTACCATACAATATTACTCAACTGTAAAAGGAAACAAAATAGATGAATCTCAAAAATGTTATGCTAAATGAATTAAGTTAAAATTAAAACAGCAGCATGTCCGTGGTTGCCTGGGAGCATGGAAGGGTAGGGGATGAAATACAAAGGGACTTGAGAAAACTGTTTAGGGTAAGGGATTGTTTGTCTATGTTAAATGTGGTGGTACTTACATGGTAGTATATTATCCAAAGAATTAAACTATGTACTTAAAATTGTGAGTTTTATCTGTAAATACTACCTCAAAAAACAAAAAAGGAGAAAAAAATTAAATGATTTTGTCATTGATACCTAATGTGAATTCTCCAGAATAGTACATGACCGATGGAAGAGCATGTGGTTTATTATTTCACAATTCCAAACAGGAATATATTCACACATAAACACACACTCAAGTGTGTTATGAGTAAAATTAAATCATCTTTAAATCTCTAAATACTAGATGATCTGCAGCATTTTACATATTTTGTGTGAAAACCTACATATACTAGAAAAAGTTGGTTCAGTTTTATGTTTATATTGGTAGATAATTTCTTGTAAACTATAGATATGATTTTCTTAAAATAACTTAAACTTCTTTGTAAATGAAATATCTTGGTAAGATATTTCAGGCAAAATGTCTTTCTTAGATTGAGAGTATTGAGATCAAGCAGTGGCCTGTCAATCTCTATTGTCGAAATAAATTATGGTCAATAATTAGCAACAGCATTTATTTCTATTTAAACTCTGTTTGCTCTAATGTTACTCCACATTGCAATTATTTATTGTAATGTGTTTTGGGATAATCCATAAAACACCAAGACAGCACATTGCAATAAGAGTATTTGATCTCCGAGAGAACAAAACTCTTAGGTCCTCCTTGATATAAATGAATTATATTCATTTAAATATTGTCTGAAGGTTTGAATTCACAATCCATATCTCTTGTAGGTGAATCAGATTTAAGTAATCAAAAGCTTATCAGTGCTGTTGCTTTCTCATATTTTCTGCATCTAAAATGGTAAAATGGCCTTTTCTCCCTAAGTTTTCTGTTCCACATAAGGTTTCTTTACAGCAGTAAAATGTGTCTTTCCATGAATAATACTACGATTTATGTTTTTGCTTTGGATGCATTTATTTGAAACCATCCCAAAATGTATTGAGCAGTAGGAATTTATACTTTTCAGCACTCATTTCTCCTTTTAATTATAATTACTCTGTTGCAGAAATTATACTGTCATTAATTCCAAAATCATCGTGGTCACAATAAGGCCTGAACCCAAAACAACCGATTCGTTTCTGGAGATAGAACTAGCTCATTTGGCTAATGTAAGTACCATCCACTGGGCACTGACTTGCTTATGGAATTACCTTTCTAACAGTCATTCTTTCAACTGATAACACCAGAATACATTTTCTAGACTTTTATAGTTGCAAATATATTAACTTGTTATGAGTATGTGTATTATAAAGAAACAGAATGATTATTCTATGCTTTTTTCATGATAAAATTCTCTTCAATTTATCCAAATGAGTATATGTATTATAAAGAAACAAAGAATGGTTATTCTATGCTTTTTTCATGATAAAATTCTCTTCAATTTATCCAAATAATAGTTAATAAATCATTTATCAGTGCACACATCTTTACCAAGCTTTGTGCTAGGCACTGGAGAAGATGAGGTGAGTAAAAGCCTGTTAACTGTAGTGGTGCTTACATGGTAGTATACAATTATCCAAAGCATTAAACTATATACTTAAAATTGGTGAGTTTTATCTTTAAATAAAACTTGATCTCACTATGTGGTAGGAAAGAAAAAATTTAAGTTGCATGCCACAGTAAAAGTTATAAACAGTGCAGAGGGGAATGATTAATTCAGAGGAAGGGGGTGCTGGGTGGAGTGGGTAGCGTGTAGAAATACTAAGTCAAGGATCAGGGAAGGCTTATTATAACTACCTAGGTGATCGCATTGTCTAAATCAAAATCTTTCATCTCAGAATGAAAAGAACCCATTCTTAAATCTATCCAACTGCAGCTGAAATGCTTCAGATTTTGTTCAGTCCTCTGTACAAATTTTCAATGTCTACTTATTATTTAAATATTCACTTCAAATACTTAAATCATTGAAGTGGAGGAGCAAGGAAAGTGATCCCTATGAAAGTCTTCCTTATTGTACTTTCATAGTTCCTGTATTAAAATAAGTCAGTTTCATGATTTACTTGTACATATTTTTATCCTTGCAAAGTTTTTATGAAGTTGACCTTTCTTTACATTGAAAAAAAAATAAAGGAAAAAGTGATTAAGTCATTATCCCAAGCCCATATAGTTAGTGAATGACATAGCATAATTTAAACTCACATTCTTTTGGCTGTAAAATTTGTGTATTTTCTACTATTGTGTAGTTTCTGATTTCCTGAAAAAAATCAGCCTTAGTTTTATAGAAAAATGATAATCACCTTTTCTGTGAATCACTTTTTCTAAGATGAGCCAGGCTTCCTGGATTATTTAATAAAAATTTCAAATCTCTCTGCAATAACTTTCAAAGATCATTTGATATTTAAACTATTTAACTTTAAACTATTCTAAATAGTTTAACTATTTAAACTATTTAACTTTAAACTATTCTAAATAGTTTAACTATTTAAACTATTTAAACTATTAGTTAATATTTAAACTATTAGGTGTTTTCCTGCTTTTGTCAAAATGTGACCATACTAGTTCTATCTAACCTTAAGAACGTGTTTTAGTTCTACAATATCTACCTCCTCATACCTTAGTATAGCCCTCATCTCTTCACTGCACTGAGAACTGGGAGACATTTTTAACTTCTGAACATTTGCTTTTGAATAAAGAATTTGTGTATTCAAAATTTTTTACAAAAATATATGTTTTTATTGTTTTTCTACAGTTACAAGTATTGGGAGAATGTAGTAAGAGATTAATTCTCTGTATCAGATTATAGAATTACTGAAGAAGCACCCAGTATCAGAATGTGTACTCTGTTTCTTATGCAGAGAACAGTTGTGCAAATGAATCACGAGACTTTGATAAAGATGAAATCATTATTTAGAACTTAAAGGACATGTTAAAGGAAGCTTTTTTAATAAATTAAAAAAGAGTAGTCTCAAAAATAGTGTTGAAATAGTCTCACTATTTGAGTATAATAAAACTATTTGAAATGAACGTATTTAAGCTTTGAGTCTGTCTTTTATGTTCTGGAAATGTGTTTTGTCAGCTGATTTACAGAAGATATAAACCATGTACTAAAAATATTTTCTACATATGGAAAACAAAGAACATAGTCAACAAATTTTATTAAGCACCAGCTAGTACTGGAATGACAATGAAAGTCAGCATGTAAGAATGATGAGATAATTATCAGAAGTCACTTAGAATTAATTGTGTCTTTCAGTATTTTGAGTAAGTGAATTGACCAGGTTCCCACGAGAATATATCTCCACTCTAGAAAGCCCATGTTTAAAATGTATGTATACATGTAGAAATCTGTTACAAAAAAGTGGATGGGGAGAGGAGAATAGAAAGAGGAACAATTTTATGCTAGAGAAGAAAAAGTCTCTAGGCGCTCTTGTTTGGAATCTGCCCGCCGTGCACATCGTGCCTCTTCTCAGAGGCTCCTCCAGTTACTGACCACACAACTGAGCCTCTCTGGGCTGCTCTGGACTCTTTTATTTAAAATATCCATCTCACTGTTGTCTGTACAATATATACAGCCCTTCTACTTTAGTGTTTTGAATTTCTAAAGCTTATTGTATTTACATTTATTTTATTGCTAAAATTAGATTTTGTGAAATACTTTGGGAAGTATTACTGTTCACTAAGGGAGGGAATATGTGGTTTATTTATTGAATATCATAATATTATTACCAGTCTTATAAAGATATATTCTATGTACTGAGATTAGTTTATTTCCATTGAAGAGAAGACAAAAAAGATCTATTTTGAAATATAATGTTAGCTGAAATGTGAAGAAAAAATATATCTTAAATATGCAGACTGAAATTTATTAGAACAAGCCTGAACTTCATGTATATATATACACACACACACACACACACACACACACACACACATATGTACATATATTCAGTTGGCCCTCAGTATCTGCATCCGTGGATTCAACCAACCACAGATCAAAAATATTTGGAAAAAAATGAAAAATAACAGTATAACAATAAAAATACAAATGTAAAAATATAGTATAAAAACTATTTACATAGTATTTACACTGTATTATGGTATTAGGTCTTGTAAGCAATTTAGAGATGATTTCAAGTATACAACAGAATGTGCATAGGTTATATGCAAATATATATAAGATACTTGAGCATCCATGGATTTTGGTATCTGCAAGGGGTTCTGGAACCAACCCCCTGTGGATGACAAGAGACAACTAATACAAACACACCCATCCCCCCACCTCCAACCTTCACACATATACATCCACATATATATATTAATATATAGTTATATATATGCATGTATACACATATACATGCCCATATTTGTTGCCTTCAAATTTTTTTAGAAATGACACATCTCTAATATCAAATCTGTCTACTTTCACTTATTTTCTTATATCAAAAATATCCGTTATACTTTCAGGAAAGAATAACTTCAAAATTACATTTTATTAAAATGCCATGTGAAAAAAAAAAGGAAGAATGGGAATTAATAGTTACAGTGAGTTATAGTGAGTTAACAGGAAAAGCCTGTTAACATTTTCTTTTAAAAATGTGTCTCAGAAAGCTTTTTAACAAATAGCATTTACAATATGTTAAATATAATAAGGCTCTTGGGAACTGATAGGAATAGGTAATAAAATATGGAACCTAGCAATTCCAAATTCTGTTTAGCAAAGCCAATTGCAGCTTTAACCAGATTAGTCATTAATTAGTAAGACACTATTCTTAGTTCAGTTTTTCAGGCTGATGGCTTCATTGTCATGACCTATAAAGTTAGGGTATATGGTCTTTAGTGCTTAAGCATAACAATTAATTGCTTTAAAGAAATATCAAATTTTTTTCTCCCTCCAAAAATTTGTTTTTTATATCACTTAAGAGTGACATTTATACTCATCAAATTTTTAGATCCTATAATGCATAAGGAAAGTTAATCATCTTATTGAAAATAATTCTTGAGGGCCAATGAGTGCAATGAGTAGATCCCTATGTAGACAAACACATATGCTATTAGGATCCCTTGTGTCTGACAGGTCTGGGCCTACTGTGACTTTCCAAGGTGAATAACATCTTTATCTTTAAAGATGAGTCAGAAGAAAAAGAAGGTAAAATGCATTTTAGTTATCTCATGCTCTATCAACTTTGCAAGCCTGAAAATGCATACTTTTTCCAAATGAAGTCTTCATGTAGTTCCATTTCAAATGGAAAGATAGAGTGGACCATACCAGCCTGCAGTCTCATCTTGGCTTTTAAATTTTTTTTCCTCTGGGCATCAACTCCAAATGGTATAGGTAGGGTACTGCTGCTTTCAGGGTTGAGATAAATGCGTTATGTTTGTAGTTCTCAAATTGATCTAATGAAAATTTGGGCTTGTAGGTTTTGTTTTCTTTGCCATATTTGCGTGCATTCTAATAGCATGAAGCTAACAAATTAAGAAATTTGTTTTATGTGTATAAACCAATTTTAAATGAAAATTAACCATGACCCTATGACCTTTGTAAATCATAGTGGAAAACACAGTGACAACTGTAACGAATATGCTTGTTATCATTAGATAAGCATGAGAAACAATGAAAAGAAATTCCAACATTCATCAGTGGGTATTTTCATGAATATAAAGGTTAATAACCTAAGGATTTAAAAATCACTTGGCAAAACTTTGAAAAGTTCAGTGTGTGCATCCGTAATTTTCACAAAGGGCTGTTTGATATGCCTTTACTTTTTGAATTACTTTTCTGCCCTAGCTTTATCCATTTGGAAGTGGTTTCTGATATTTTGTCTGTTTACAGTTCTTGGTAACTTTTATGGAGAGTCTTGAAATGCTACTAGACAAGGAGATTAAAGGCTCTTCCAACAACTGAAATTGAGATAGAAATTGCTCTCTGGCTACATTTTTGGTTATAGCCTAAATTTCTTCAGTAGACATCCTTCTCATGTTTCAAATTTAGTTTATTGTTAATTATAATACATAATTGATATTCTTTAAAAACACTTTAGTATGATTGTGCTATTGTTGGAGCAGGGGGTCAGCAAACTTTTTTAGATAAGAGTCAGATCGTAAAGAATTTCAGACATGAGAGCCATAATGGCTTCTGTCACATCCACTGAAATATGGTGTTATAATCTGAAAGCAGCCATTGACAATATGAACCGATAGGTGTGGCTGTATTTCAATAAAAAGTAACTTACAACAGATGGCAGGTCAGATTTGGCTCATGGGCTATTGTCAACCCCTGTGTGATACGCAGAATAGTGACTCCTCCAAAGACGTCCACATCCTAATCCCCAGAATCTATGACTGTGCTGTGTTACAAGCCAAAAGGGATGTTTGTGTGAGTACATGTCAAAACGCATATGTGTGTTACATGTCTCTGCTATAACCCCATATAATTAGTATTAGGACATATCATTATATTGCTTTTGGACGTAAAAGAAAAAGACATAGGCTATATATTGTACCTATATAAAATCTAGTTATTTAATTAATCTATTTCTTTATTAAAGTTATTTGCTACTTTAATTAATATTAAATACTTGCACAGTTTTAACTCTAGAAGACCCATTTGCTTGCTGAGAGGTACACCAGACTTTGTGCAGCCATTATTGGAAATGATGTGATCACATGCAGGTAGGACACTCTGAGACATATATGTGGAGGCAATGATTTTCTTTGAAGCATATACATGTAAAAACGTCCTGATGATGGTTCTGCTTTTTACTGCTTCCCATATGACAAGTGGAAAGTATTCCTCTGGAAATAATGCAGGTTAGTGATATATCTCAGAAATTAGAGAAGCAAGCTGTCATCACATCTATAAAAATAGTGTCATGTGGTTAATGTGGGCTACTAACTGTATAGCAGAAGTGATATTAAATATGTGCCCTCTCCTTGTATTCCAATCAAATAGCTGCCAACTTTCTGTGAATAGCTATGTAACATAGATGGGACTCATTCTAATTAAAACAGTATTCTACATTTCTCACTTCAGTGGCCTTCATGTAATTCTGCTTTAGCTAAAGCCAATTTTTTTTTCATTCCATCTTAGTTTGTCTAGTTTTCAATGTGATGAGAATCCTCATAAAATCCATCCAAATTATCTACATCTCCAGCTTCCTAACAAATAAGAGTACAGTATTGTATTCTCAATGTGTCTTTTAAGGCTTTAGGTACACAGCAGCTGTCCCTTAAAAACTGAACATAAGACCCAGACTTAGCTCCTTCTAAGTATCATTTAAAATACTAAAATATGGAACAGTACTTATCATAACTTTGAGAACATATTGGAGAAGAACATCCAGGAGATTACTTCCTGTTGAGTTTTATATTGTATTTTTTCACTGCCTCATCCCCTTGCATGGTGTTTTACTCTTTAAGGGACTGTAGAACTGTTCATATGTTAAAAGACATGACACTGAAATGGGTCCCTCTCACTGATCAACTATTAGCGGACTGTGATGGATTTGACTGTGGAAAAATTTACGTCTACTAATGTCTTGCTTCCCTTAGCAATTCCTGAGATGTTTTTAATGTGTCCTTCTGAAGTATCATTAAAATTATGGGGAGGCTGAGGCGGGTGGATCATGAGGTCAGGAGTTCAAGACCAGCCTGGCCAAGAGGGTGAAACCCCGTCTCTACTAAAAATACAAAAAAAAAAAAAAAAAAAAAAAAAAAATTATCCGGACGCAGTGGCAGATTACTGTAATCCCAGCTATTCAGAAGGCTGAGGCAGGAGAATCGCTTGAACTCAGAGGACAGAGGTTGCAGTGAGCCAAGATTGTGCCACTGCACTCCAGGCTGGGTGACAGAGTGAGACTCTCTCATTAAAAAAAAAAAAAAAAAAAGAAAGAAAGAAAAGAAAAAAATTTATGAACAAAATATGAATTAGTCTTTTGCAGATCCAGTTAGGCAAATTGGAAATATTCTTGAGGAATCTCCAAAATCTATTTGGGTAGTTATATACAATAATAACAATCTTTAGTAGGGAAAGAGAGAGAGGATAAACTTAGCAAAATCCAGGTCATTTTAAAGTAATGCCTTGCCATCTAAAATTTAGGAAATTAAAGAGAGACAATACAGTGTCAGTTGAAGAGTCTTTCTCCCATTCACTCAACAGATCAAATGTCCAACTCACTGAACGATGTGACAGAAAAATTCATTCTGTAACATCTGACTCAGAGCACTGGAAATGTTCAAATAATTATGATGAAGTCACTGCCCTTCTTCATGCCCTTAGCTGCCTTGCCTATTTACTTGCTGTGCCTCCACTGAAAAGAGATTATTTTGTTTCAAGGAGGCTGTGAAAGGTACAAAAAAGTTCTGAAGTTTGAAGATTAGTAGTTTATTATGGCATATAACCACCAAGCATTCAAAAATCTGAATAAAAAATAGAGTAACCACTTTATTTCTTTTTTTAAGCAATTGTATTTGTAGTTTACAAATAATAATTGTATTGATCTGTGGGGTACAATGAGAGGTTTTGATATATGTTTACAATATAGGATTCTTAAATCAGGGTAATGAACAAATCCATCGCCTCACAAAGTTTCAGTAGATGCATGGGAGGAATATGCTTTAATGATCTATTGCACAGAATGGTGACTAAAATAAATAATAATGCATTGTGTATTTCAAAATTACTGAGTAGGTTTAAATGTTTTCAGCATGTTATTTCTGCCATGTGTATCATGAGCAGTGATTCTCTAAATTTGATGTGAAAAAAAATTATGGAGAGGCAAGAGTGCCATTATTAAAATGCAGATTTCTAGGTTTAGCCTCAACCTTAACATTCCTATAGCCAATGAATCTACATTTTCAGTATGCATCCCAGTTTATTCTGAAGTAGGTCTAGAGAAAACACTGTGAAAACATCATTAATATATCAAGAGTGTGATTAAGGTAGCATATGCATTGAATGTATTGAAAATTTAAAACACCAAGGAAAGTTTAAAGAAACTTGGTCATTTGTATTGTGACATTATTGTTATCTTTTCTGTAACCAACTTGTTTCAGATCTCTGCTCAAAGATAATCTTGCTGATGAAGCTTTCTTAATAGACAAAAGTACTATCCACTCTATTTTCCTAGTTGTACCTAGTCGTACCTCTCTCTCTCTGCCCTTCACTATGGTGAAATACATGAGGCAGGGACTTAGTTTTGCTCATCCTTGTATCACAGTGCCTTGAATGGTTCTTGGAATGTAATAGATGTTTAGTAAATGAATGCAGAATGGTTGCAGAATGGTTAGACTTGTTGTGATCATCTGCCTGCTCTCTCTTCTGACTTCTGCACTTTGTGAGGGTAATATAACATAGTTGAGTATTTCCTTAAAAAGACTTAGAAGAGAGTTTTGAAAGAATAAAATGAATTTCTAGAATCATTAAAAGTGAGGGCTAGAAAAGATGTCCAAATAACCTATTTTATAAATAAGAAAACAAAAGTTATGCAGTTCAACAAAAGAGAACTATCCATTGGAATGCTTTGGCAAAGCTAGTGATATATTCTACTGTCAAGTAAATATATTTGTTTGGTTGACGTTGGAACAGAGGAGAGAAGTAAAAGAAAATAGTGAAGTCACTCAAGAGTGGTATGTAGAACATCTATGGCAATTAGAAATTTGAGCAGTGGTGCATTTTTTAAATGCTTAAAAGTGAGTAAATAGAAACATGTAGAGTTCAGCTAGAGTTTTGAATGGAGCCAAGAGTGGCAGTTTTTGTTTGTTTGTTTTGCCAAAAACATGTTTGTCAAGAATATAATTTCCTTTTCTTTAGTTTCCAAATATGTGCAGTATTACCATTTTGTATGTCAACAAATACTATTTATTGATAGTTTGGTAAATTAATCTTCTTTAACCCATCTGTCTTGTTTACCTGAGAATTTTTGTTTTCTTAGTTTACTGCATTTGTTAAAACTACTTCTACAGATTAGTACTTAGCTTCTCTCTTTTCCTCTCACCGTGTCATTACATTTTGTTATATTGGGCTACTTCTCATTATTGATTTTCTGTAAATTCTTCATAACAGATCTTGTAGCAGAGTCCCTTTGAGAAAAGTAACTGAAAATTATAACAAATATTTTACAGGTACTTACTCAGCAAAACCTTTTAGCCAGCTTTGTTTTTTTTAATATTTAGAATCCATTCATCATTGGTTGCTTTGTTTTCCGTGTCACATTCTTATTATTTAAGTGACTAGTCTATTTAGGTACTAAGTTTTCTCTCATTTGTTTGTTCAGCTTATTTTTCTAAACTTCAAATGTTCGAACTATTGACCTTAGCTCACAGTCTCACATATTGGTGACTATACTAGAATAAATGTTTATTGTATACATCCCAGAATGTGTAGTGAAACTTAAGATTGAATGATGCATTTTGGAACCTATAATAATGCTCACATGTATGGTGTTTAAATTTTCATAACCACAAAAAGAAAGAGAAGCATGCAGCAGGATCTAAGAAGTAAGGGGTGAAGAACATGGAGAATAAAACTGAATGTTGACAAAGTCATGGAAAAAGATTAGAAGAAGCATTTCTCGTTTTGAAACCTTTTTTGAAGAATAAATCAGTTTCTTCAGGGTGATAAAAAGGAAAGAAGTATCCAAACAATTAAGTTTATGTGTTCTTTTCTAATTTTTTTTTTGTTGTGGCTTACTGTGAACAATCATTGTGAAATATTAAGCCTATAGTCCGTATCTTATATTAGTTTATATAAAGATTTAACTTAATCTACATTATACATCATTAAAATCAGCCAATTAGATTTAATGGATCTGTTATCTCAAGTTCCTCAGCTGCACTTGGTTTCTATATCCTTGAAATGCATACTCCCATACTCTTCACTGTGATGTTACAAGGATAATTTGTTTTCTATAAGGTTCTCTGAGCTCCTTTGAACAAAGCACTAGGTAAATATAGCATAACTTTATGACAGCATTTTGGCTATGCTGAGGATTTATCAGAAAGTCACAAGCTATATGAAAAATTCAGGTAAGACTGGACAGGATCTTATAAGATAGAGAAGAAACCAATTTAATACACCATTCCCCTTTCCTTCCATGGAACATCTGGATCTATGCCGTCTGTGAGAACCAGATAAGAACCCATTTCTTCTATGAAACTTGTGCTGACTAGCATAGGCCATGACACTCCATTCCCCCATTTGTCCTTTACTCAGTAAACTATGGCTAGTGATATTTATGTAAGCATTTTGCTTGGATTGTTACAGGAACATTCCATGTCTATGTTCCTCATCTACTTCTATAGGACTATGACCTTTTTTCAGGAAAGACAGTGTTATTATACTGTAGGAGCATAGTGTAGGGAGATATGAGCATTCCCTAACAAGTAAGACCCCACCTCATCAAAGGGCAGAAGCTGCAGGGAGGTAAGAAGTGCCCGGCAGGAGAGGCTCCAAGAGATGTGACTACCAGTGGGGCCCAGCAAGGGAGTCTCCTGAGAATCCACCCAAGTGCTGGTGATGTTGTAGAACTTTTTCCTTAGTTCAGCTAAGAGCCGGGTTCTTGTTACATGGCCATGAGAGATTAGGCTTGCAGACACTTTGAAGGGTGAGAAAAAAAAATGGAATTTACTGGGAAAAGAGGGGATGAAAATGAAACAGGGGCCCTCGGCAAAGCCAGAGTCCTGCTAGCTGGCTTCCCCCTGGCAGACTGAATTCCAGTTTCCACCCCAGGAGAGAAGGGGCCAGGCTCCTCCCCTGCAAATGTTGTGAACCTCCCAAGGCTCACCCAACTGCACATTCCTTATACTGCACAGGCCTTGGAAGTTCTGTCAGGGAGCCCTTCCCACCTGGCTGTCTCAGTGAGAAGAGTCAACTTAAATCATAAAATAGGGCCAGACTGCTCAGAGCTGACTTTGGACGTTAGTGGGCAGGTGAAAACCTTTTGCCTCCTTTACCTCCCCTCCCTCACCCCTCTACCACCCTGGCCACTGGCAGAGTCATGGCCGACCTCCGCCCCAGTCTTTCATCTGGAGGAGAGAAGATGATCTGACATTCAATCAGGTTCTGTGTTTTGATTATTTGTAACAGATCATTTTCAATTGCTAATGACATGACAATCGTGATTTAATGTGACCACCAAAGTCTATTATTTAAGAGTGGCTCAAAACTTCGGAGGTTTATTTTCAATTTATGACTAAATTTCCATCCAGAAGCAAGAAAAAGATCATTTTTTACTAAATAAATTTTAAAGGAAGAATGGGAAACAAAAACAAATGCATTTTCTGATTGCTTAAAAAAAAAAAGTAAGATACCTTGGATATGTGGCCTTTCAGGGAATTTTTAGAATAACTGGGATGCTGCAATATTGGAGTTAGTCATGTACCAATTAAAATGAATAATATGTAAGGTTTGAGTGAATTTCATACATTTTAGAACAGTAAGCTTACTATTTATTTCTAGCAAAAATTTAGAATGGACCTATCAGACAGCATTTACAAAGGCACACCTCCAAAAGAGCTTCTCTGGACTTTCAAAGATGTTGCTTTCCCAGATACACTCCAGTGATTGTCTATATGTAGACAACACTGAAGCCTGAGGGCTGGGTCATAGCTTGCTGGCAATGAGGTACGGTGTCCACCTGTGGAAGGAAGGCAGTGGCCTGTTTCAGGACTGTACTTTTTTTTTTTTTTTTTTTTTGAGACAGAGTCTTGCTCTGTCGCCCAGGCTGGAGTGCAGTGGCACGATCTCGGCTCACTCACTGCAAGCTCCACCTCCTGGGTTGACGACATTCTCCTGCCTCAGCCTCCAGAGTAGCTGGGACTACAGGCGCCTGCCACCACGTCCTGCTAATTTTTTTGTATTTTTAGTACAGACGGGGTTTCACTGTGTTAGCCAGGATGGTCTCAATCTCCTGACCTCGTGATCTGCCCTCCTTGGCCTCCCAAAGTGCTGGGATTACAGGCGTGAGCCACTGCGCCCGGCCTCAGGACTGTATCTTTTAACTGCCTTGGTCTGTTTATTATTATCAATGACCAGGTTGGATGAAGGCATAGATAATCATGTTTGTTTGTTTAATCCTGTAATGACACAAAACTTAAAAGCAATACTGAATGGGTGGGATGCCAAAATCAGGATTTTAAAAGCTCAGCAGAGATTGCAGTGTATGAGTAATACCTATCTAGCTCAGGAAGAGTCTACCCAAATATCTAATACAATCTTAGTTTGCATTATTAGGAAGAGAGCACCTGATTTGGAGAGGTAGTGGTACTGCTTTGCTGTGCACAAGTCAGACACAAGTGAATGATTTCCCTAAATACACTTTAAAAGTGTATGCTCCAGGAAATTAGTCATGTGGAGGATGAGAGAACTTGAAACCAACAGTATATGTTTAATGGATAAGAGAAGACTCTTCAGGCATATGACAGAATCTGTAGAAACATGTATCTAAATACATTAGAACTCTTCAAAACAGAAGCACATTGAATAATGCAGTGTGAAAAATCCATGGTGTTATCTTGAAGGTCACGGCAGGTACTCAATTCATAATTATTGAAGTAAATTTAAAATCTAGCATTTTCACTTAAAATTTCATTAGACATTATCCTATACAACCATGATATGCTAATTAAGAGGATATTGCAAGTTGACAAACTCCAGAAATGAACATCTCTTATCTCTAGGAAACATCAACTAGAGGCTGAAGAGGAGGTAGTGGTGGTGATTATACATGTGCATAATATAGGATATTTCACTGTGATTTCAATATTGTGAATACTGTAATCTTAAAGAAAGTAATCTAGCAACTAATGTTTTAGAGACATAAGTATAAAATCAAAATCGTCAAAATATGGACTTATGGTGTATGAGAGCCTTGCTTTTAACTTCCAGCAAAACTAAATACAAGTTAGAGTATTTGGAATAAAGATATTGTTTTCATAGAACTTTATAAAATGAGTCACTAAATCTATGAGAAACGAAATGCAAATTTCTTATAAATAATTAAAAAGAAATCATTAAAGTATTTCTTACCACAAGATAAGAAATCTTCCATTCTGTTTCTATTTCACATAATCCCTCAATCTTTTTATATATGTACTCAAGATATATGCATTCTTTCTCTGCTTTTTTTTTAGGGTACTTTGAATCCCTATTGTGTATTGTGGGATGACTCCAAAACGTAAGTGACAGATGTTTTCCTACATTACTTTGGGCTAAATTTTCAAAGCACATTAAGTTAGTTCAGCTGCCTGCTAGTTAACAGGAATATAAGTCAGTGGGATGTTGCATTCAGAGAAAAAAAAATCCTCTTTTTGAATCTTCAGGACAGCATGATGAATGTGTTTGTGTGTAATGATGCCATCAGGTTACATCTCAAGATAGTATTGCATTACCTACTGTGTAAGGCACATTGCAATGTGAATTCCATGAGGAATTTTTAAAAGCTCTGATATTTTAGAATTGATAGAAGCTCGAATGCCATCTTAACATCTTGTCCTAGTAATTCAGCTTAGCATTGCAGAATAAAATAGCAAGATCTATGGTCATTTAGCCAATATATTACTCACATGACCTTGAATCTATTATCAGAGTAATGCAATATTTATATGGTCCCTCCAAATTGTTTTGTGATAAAAACATTGAGTGACATTTAATTTTTTATTTGTATATTTTTGAATTCAGGCAGAAAAAATAATTGCACTAAATAAGTATGAGTAATTCTTCCATGTTATTTTTTTGTTTGTAGAAGTAATTGCAATATATCTAATCAAAATCACCTTTATTTTATTGATAATCCTGAGATTTTGATGTCTCAAAGAGCAGGAAAATCTGTAGTTAAGTCTTGGTTAGACTCCTATACTTTAAATACTTGTGTAGCTTATAACTTTTATTTTTTTGCTTGGTTTGATTTTGCATGAGGGGAGATAAATATCAATCAATCCCAAAAGTAATCCCACTCTATATATGCTGTCAGATGAAGCACCATATTGTTGGACTGTATGTATTCTAAGAATTTTCCTGGTGTTCTTCACCCCTGATATGATCTACATCTGAGGTTTTGTGATGCTACTTGTTTCTCACCAGAGAGTCTAGAAGAGGAGCATTTTTAGAATCTCTAGGAAAAGATTGAAACCTCGGACAATTTTCTCAGTCCTAGGATGCTGATATAATTTAAATTACAATTAATATTAAACATACTCTTTTGCTATAGGTTCTCATACTCTGGGTATCCTTTACTACTAGTCCAGTACAATAGTTAAGTACAGAGAATTCCAACTTGCCCTGTTGATAACATGAGCTGGATAGCCTTACTGATGTCATTATTATTTTTTTCTTTTTGGAACTTTACAGACAAATCCATGATAGTAAAATTTTTGCAAGCTTTCTCTCTCTACCAATAGCCAGAGAAGAATTTGGTGGTATAATCTAAGCTGCACTTAATATGTTATATAGCCAAGGGAAAAATAAAATGCTATAAAAATCTAGTTGAATGTTTTCGGCCCAAGAAACATGTGCTATCTTGAACTCCTGATTTTAGTTTCCATATCTCTGTGAATAATAAGCAACTTTGACTTAGTTTTATTATTATTATTTTTTTTTACTGGGTAGAATCTGCTTCTTTGTTGATCTAAACGGGGGAAAGTGTTAGTTATTCCAAAAGCCCCTTAAGACTATTAAAGGGACACTGCAACAAGAGATAGTTCCTTATTTTGTGCCTCCTGTTGGCTACTTTTCATAGACAGTATAAGGTGTTAAGTTGAATTTATCAAACTATTGGTTTCTGAGGTTAGCATTCACCTGAGGAATCAATCACACCTCCCTAACATCTGCTGATGACATGACTCTTATCTGTCACGAAGAATGTCTCAGCTTTACAACATTCAGCTTCTAAGTTGTCCTTGAAGAAAACTATCCAGGGAGAGGAAATGTGTTTAGTTGTCTTTCAAAGAAGATAATCTCAAGGGATTGGTGTAGTTCATGTTTTCTTGATGTATCCGAAAAGTGATCAAAAACCTTCCCATTGTGACAGAACTTCTTTCCCATCACAGTTTTCGCTAGATTGTTTCATTATTAAAAGTGTTTTTCTGGGTGAGCTTTAAACAATGAAGGTTAAGGCAACTTTATTTCCTTTCTTCACATTTGTTCTTCTATTTTGACTATATTTATATATACACAATAGTTTTATTGATGTAATCATATTGAATTTGAATATAGGTCCTCTAAATATAATTAATAGTGAAGAGATACTGCTACTTCTTTTTATACAGAAAACGGCTGTCTTAAATATTTTCAAGATTGCAGTAATAAAGTTCAAATTAGAAGTTGTGCTTTAATTTTGGTTTATCAAGTTGCTGTTATTTTTAATTTTTAAAAATTGATTTTTAATTACAAAAGCAATGCACGAGTATTTTTTACTTGTAAAACTTTAAGGCAGAACTGTTAATGTAAAGAGCCCCACTGATCATCACCATCTTGGGCCTCCACATCCACCCATATCTCTAAGATCATTCCTATTTACATTTTGTTGTTCATAATCTCATATATCCATTTATACATTGACGTGTATTCATTCATAGACATTCACACTATTTTTAAATAAATGTTTTCATATTGTATGAACACTTGACAATCTCAATTTTAAATTCAACAAATATCTTGGAAAATTTATTTTACACTACCTATATTTCATTCCTCGTATCTGCTGCATTGTATAGGTATATCAAAGTTGATTTACTATTCTCTATATTGATGACTATTGGCATGATTTCTAATTAATTTTAGTCTCTAAACTGTGCTTCTGTGTATCTCCTTGTACATCTCTCCCTGAGGATATCTCTGCTCACATAATCCAAAATGTTGCCCTGTTGTTCTCTTTATATAACCCCGTTTGATACTTTCACAGCATGCATTCCTTTTTCTTATTTTCGTTTGGTTACCACCTGTCTTCCTCACTAGAAAATAAGCACCATAAAAGAAATACTTTGTCTTTCTTATTCATCACTGCACTGTTGGTGCCTACTATACCTGCATATAAGATACATTCGATAAATATTTATTGGCTACTTTGGTAAAAGAATGAATGTTTGCATGTTTCGTAGGTACATTTTCTATCTAAGAATTATTCCCATCTCTATTTGATTTTATCAGTTGATAAATATTTCTAGCAATTATTAGAGCTAACATTGGAAATTTGATGGAAGAATGTTTCAGCTTGTTAAATAGTAAGATCCATTATAAACAATTAATTTTATTTCCAAGGGTAATCTATTACCCAGATTATCTCAAACAAAGGCATTTTATTTTACTATCATTAGACAAAACATCTTTAGACAATTTAGAAACATATTTGTTTTGTTCTGGCTCACTAATTAACAAGATATTGAAAATGCTTCATTGTATGTGACAGATGAAATAAATTCAAAGTGATTTTCTCACTTCAGACATAGGCTTATTGTAAATCGGAGAATATTTTTTATTCAATAGATGCAGAAAAGACCTTCGATAAAATTCAACACCCCTTCATGCTAAAAACTCTGGATAAACTAAGTATTGATGGAACATATCTCAAAATAATAAGAACTATTTATGGCAAACCTACAGCCAATATCATACTGAATGGGCAAAAGCTAGAAGCATTCCCTTTGAAAACTGGCACAAGACAAGGATGCCCTCTCTCACCACTCCTATTCAACGTAGTATTGGAAGTTCTGGCCAGGGCAATCAGGCAAGGGAAAGAAATAAAGGGTATGCGACTAGGAAAAGAGGAAGTTATATGTTCTTTTAAAGTGGCTTACAAAGTTATCATTTGAGTGATTGGTAATTTGCACATTCTTTGAGCTACTCTAAATTTGGATTTTGAGTATTAGATCATGCGTGGTGACTACATTTCCTGGAAAACCTATAATCCCTCCCTTAAATTAGCCTGTGGTCTTTCTCTACAGATCTTGTAACCATCCATCTAATACTCTCAAGTCTGTGAAGGACTACGTTTGTTTTCAGAAAGTGTTTCGTTAATCCATTTGTAATTTATTTACCTATCTTGTTGTTGAAAACAAAAGCTTCTAAGGACTAGACTTCCCTATTTTTTCTTCATTTCAAATTGATTTATTGGAGTTGGGAGTAGCAACAGTCACATCTTGACTGAGACTGACACTGGCTTGTTTTCTCTCAAAGTTAAGTAATTGAATTGAACTAATTTCTCTCCTTTGCTTCCATTATCCTTATTTATTCATAACCAGAATATCTTTCTCTCCCTTTGTCATTCATCCTGGAAGTCAAAATTTCATTTACCTCACAGTATAACTCCTAGCAAATATAAAACTAACACTTCAACCTCATCTTCTTATTTCAGGGAAGTTGACATCATTTTCTTTGCTCTGTGAATGATTGATATATCTATACATTAGGAAGACACAATATTATATGCCTTAAGAAAAATATGTTCCTCTTAGAAATTTTAAATACTTATACAAAGTGTTACTATTATTGGATAGCCAACCTTTCCCTGCAGGGAATAACCAAATGATAAAGCTCTTTTATATGGCTCTGTTCAAACTGGGATAGAGTGGGACCAAACTAAGATGAACAGAAAATAATCTTCTTATAAGTATGATACAGGAGCAAAAAGAACAAGAAAGAGGTCTTGTTGGAGACTTCATTTAAGCAATTAAGAAATAAACCAAGAATAGTAACCACGTAAAACAGCAATATCATGGTCTCATTGTTTGGAGAGAAATGTGGAAACATCTTCTACAGACTCATAATTACCTAATTGAAGCCTTTTCGTGAGCAGCAATGAAAAAAAAAAGTCTGTATTAAAAATATTTAACAATGTATAGCCATCATTCCAGTAGAAAACTATTTCTAGAATTTCCTGGTGATTCAATTAACCATAGACAGGAATTGAAAACTATTTAACTTCAAGAAGTTATGTTACCTTTGTAGCACAGGTTGGTCTGTTTAGTACATGTTAACATGTAACTGATTACATTATTACAGTCGATACTTTAGTAAGAAATCACAATTGTATGACAAACGTATGATGTTCAGTCTTCTAAATTAACATTGTTATGTGCAGTCTGTATGTCCAATATATGTTCTAGGTGCCAGCATGTTCCATTTTACTGGATAGTTCCTAAGGTCTTGTAGTTGTTCTTTTCTGTAGTTAGAAGGGTAAAAGAATAACTAATTTTGGCTGACACTTGTAACCTTGCCTCAGTAGGTATATTCGTAGTCAGTATGTTGCAGAACTGCAGAAGCAGATAAGTTAAATTTTTGGAATTTGCATCTAAGATGTTAAAATTCCATAGAACTTTCCATTATCCATTCAGGTCCAATCATTAATTCTCTAATATTATAAAACTATGTTATGCTTTTTGTCCCTTGATTATATTCACACTGAAAATACTGAAAATACTAGACCTTTACATTATCAAAATACTAGTCCTTATAAAGTAAAATTTACCTGATCTCCAAAAAATGAAATTTATATTATAGTCAAAGATGCTAATGCCAAACTTTAGAATGGTTCTTGGTTTTCAAATTTATTGTGGATAAAATGTTTGCTTCTGTTTGCAAAGCAACCCTGCTCTTCTAGAAATATTACAAAAAGCAATAGAAAAAATTTAATTTTCTAAGAAAATAGAAATACAATTAAAGATTTATTGGTGAGAAACTAAATGAAACTTTTACTTTTTGCTTTTCTGTTTATACTATACATTATTTTTTGAAGTTTTTTCATATTCACAATTGTGTGTTTTCTCATAAAGCCATTATAATTCAGCTTTCTTCAGGTAAATTTTTCTTTTTAATTTCTTAAAATTTAAAAAATTATCTTAGAATGTTTTAAGTTACATCATAGATTTTATGATTTTAAATCTTAAATGCTTAGTTTCTTAAAGGTGTATTATTAAATTTGTTAGCACATAAGCAATTCTTTTTTAACTGATAACGTTTACATAAATGCTTCTAATATTATTAGCAACCCATTATGTCCATTAGCGTGAGCTATAAGGTTCAAGAAATGCTGCATCATGCCCTCAACACAAATTCTCTGGTCTAACATTAGGAATCAAATGGCATCATGTATTTTTCATTGTAATTCTCACCTTGTCCATCTAACATTGGGGTTTGCACACTACAACCTGTGTCACAAATACAGACTGCTGCATGTTTTTGTAAATAAAATTTTATCAGACACAGTCATTCTTATTTGTTTATGTATTGTCTATTGCTTCTTTGGTACTACAACTGCAAAGTTGAGTCACAACAGAAATCATAATGTCTGCAACTCCTAAAATATTTACTATTTAGTCTTTTATAGAAAAAAAAATTGCCAGCCTCTGCCCCAAACAGTGCTTTCCAGCACTTTTTATATCTTGGCACACAGAAAATATTGATTATACATCATATTGAAGTAAATGAATGAAATATTTGCAAGCAGGGTAAGGGTAGGATGTCCAAGGCTAGAGAGGATCAATATCTCCATTAGTTCTGGAAATTCTCTCACTTTTTGAAATATAGATTCACCCATAATTTGTCTCATTCTCATCTGTAATACCGAATAATATTGTTTCCTATCCTTTTCATCTCATAACCTCTCTTCCATAGTTCTACTTTTTTCCCCTCTCAGTTATCTATTTTAACTTACTTTCAGTTCATTAATTCTCTCTTCAGTTTTGTCTAACCAGTTATTTAATTATCCATAGAGTTTTAAATTTGGGTTATCGTCATTTTTTATTTCTAGAGTTTCCATTTAATTACTTTTGATCTGGTAAATTACTTTCTAGGTTTTTCTTTTATGCATATTTTTGTAATCTGTTGTATTTCTTTTAATGTATTAAGCATAGTTATTTTGTAATCTGTGGCTGACATGTCTTATATTTGAAACTTTTGGGGTTTGTTTCTGCTCTCTTTTATTTCTTCCAATTCTCACTCATTGTACTTTATCTCTTAGTGTGCTAGGTTATGTCATGTTAATTGTCCTTAACAAACTATTGGTGAGAATTCTTTGAGGCCAAGGATAAAAGTGCATTCCTCCAAAAACAATTCGTATTTGCCTCTGCTTATTACTTGTTGATATTGCATTAACCTAGGATCCCTTAAGCTAAATAGAGTCTAGAGGTTCCCTGCATCACTCAAGTGTTGTGAACCCAAGCTGCAAATCCTAGCTGGATCGTTGTCACATTTTTCCACATATAGTTCAGAATTTATAGAAATATTCAAATGGGAAAGTTGATCTGAAAAAAATCTTATTGCTGGAAATTGGAAATTTAAATCCATATCTCCTCATATGTATAGTTCTTGAGTAATACATCTCACATCTCACAGCATGCCTGTAGAGAGTGCTGCCCTAAAAAGCTTTGTGTATATATCTTTTATAATCCTTATATTTTCCGCTTTATTTTGTAGCAATTTGATATTTCTTTTTAGACTAAAGTATTTGAGGACTAGAAGTGTGTCACATTCATTTTTGTAAATTATACTTTGTTTACTGAAGAGATTTGCAACTAGTTATCAGTAATGTGTTCATTCATTTGACAAATGTTTCTTGAGAACCTATTATTTGTTCTGCTGTTTAAGGTGTCTGGCACATATATCAGTGAATAAACAAAAATAACTTTTTTATGAGACTTAGATGTGGGAGGGGCTGGGGGATGAGAAGGATATAAACATGATAGATATACAAATTATGTAATGTGTTAAAGGGTAAGAATTTCATGGGTGGATAGATCAAGATGAGAATAAGTAATGCCATTTAATTCAATTGACTTTTTCATATTCCTTTGACTGACTTACTCCAAGATTCCACCATTCATTTTTACAATTAATGTTTACTTAGCAAGCATCGAAAATGTGTAAAGGATCCAGGATCCATCTCCAGCTTTCATGAGCCACCTAATTAACTGTTACTTTTTTTTTTTTTTTTTTTTTGAGACAGAGTCTCGCTCTGTCACCAAGGCTGGAGTGCAGTGGCACGATCTCGGCTCACTGCAATCTCTGCCTTCCAGGTTCCAGCGATTCTCCTGCCTCAGCCTCCTGATTAGCTGAGATTACAGGTACATGCCACGACACCCAGCTAATTTTTGCATTTTTAGTATAGACGCAGTTTCACCATGTTGGCCAGTCTGGTCTCAAAGACCTGACCTCAAGTGATTCACCCACCTCGGCCTCCCAAAGTGCTGGGATTACAGGCATGAGCCACTATGCCTGGTCTTAATTAACTGTTACTTTTGGTCATTGAGTTCTCTGTCCATTTCAGCTAGCTTTCCTCTAGTGTTTGATCTTTCATCTTTTGTCTGCTGTCTGCTTTTCCCTCTGGCCCCACGGTGATTGTTATCCCAACTATCCAGTTAAATTATATAATGCTTGAGAAGAGGTAGATATAAACTATGACATGAAAACTAAATATTTTCTGAAATTAAGATAGCTAAGAATTCTGGCCAAAGAGATCTTTATTTATTACAAAAGAAAGAAAAACCAAGGAGCCATGTGTGTTAAAACAAAACAAAGCAAACTACCAAATGTGTAGAATCTACTCTCTGATATTAATTTTCTAGCATGGTAATAAAATTCAGAAATGAAAACTGGCTTTGTTCATAGGTATTTCTAAATCCAAAACATTGCCAGTGATATCTAGATTACTATTTCCTATAGTCTATTATTTAGCATATGAATAATGATCTGGAAAGACAACAATTTTAAAATAAATAATATTTTTCAAAATTCCTCTCTATAGTTTACTGAAAATCTTATAGGAGATAGGGGCTTTCAGTTTGTCAGTAAACATTTTCTATCTATTTGAGGTTATGAAATTGAAAATTTGCATCAAATTTTTAATTAGTAATATGAAATAAAGTATGATAATAAAAATAATTGCAATATATCTCATCACTCTAAGCTCCAGATTACTGAAAACATCAAAATGGGCATAATATTGCCTATGGCATGGAGGTGAATGATAAGAATCAACAAAAAAGTTCTCTAACAATGCTTGGTCCAGTGACTAAAGTATGGGAGGTGCTCAATAAAGGTTTGGGGTATGCATGAGTTGTTTGGAAGTTGTTTGGTATGCATGAGTGGCTTGTGAAAGAATCTACCAAGGAAGGATAGTTATTCCTATTCTCTTGTTTGAAAAATGGGTCTTAGGTATCTTGAAAAGTTATTTTTTAAAGGTATCATATACTTTGGGAAGAATTTCCAGAGTGTAAAGGAAAAAAAATACCCTCGGTGAAAATATTGCGAAAGAT
This sequence comes from Homo sapiens, assembly GCF_000001405.40. NCBI lineage: Eukaryota > Metazoa > Chordata > Mammalia > Primates > Hominidae > Homo > Homo sapiens. The sequence continues at coordinate 69,085,109 of NC_000006.12, forward strand.
GCCAACCAGAAGATTCCTACGTGTCATAGGAAGCTCTCATCAGTGTCTCTACTGTGTGAAATGTACACTTTGCCTCATCCATTTCTCCTTATTCTCAGAAAGTCATTGAAGTCGGTTTTGAAAGTATTTACTTAAACAAAGTGCTCTAAAAATCAATAATAGCAAAACTTGGAATTCATCCCATATTTCTCACCAATTTAGACTGTTCTCAGGGACTCTGGGATGATTTCAGGAGACCTTTACACAAGAATTTTAAAGTAAAATTATGTTATTAATATATTAATGGGTATAGTATTAATAAGAGCAACACAGAGCTGGCTGGTAAGGATAGGCCCCTGGGTAACCTCTCTTAATTTTCTAATGTCTGTGGTTCTATTTTGAAAAGACTTTATATTGCTGAGAATTTATATTAGGTAATTTTAGCACTGTATTTTTCCAGTCATTTGAATGACTCAGACTAATTTTTTTTTTCTATTTTAGCTTTTATAAACAAAAGACTGGACATTTTCCTTAATATTTAATTTGATATTTCCTTTTCTTATTTTAAACCCCCAATTCAGAATTGCTCACTTGTACTATAGTTAATAACCATTTTGCAGGTTTGGTGTTCCTCAGTAATTAAAGGTACCTAACATTGACTGTTTTAGACATTATTAACAAGCAATCTATTATGAATTTTCAAATATCTCCTAAAATTCTTACTAATATATTTATCTAATTATTTAAAATATAGATTTGAATGAACATCGGTAAAGATAAGATAAATTTAAAGAAAATTATTTTAAGGTTTGGTAATAAATATACAGGTTATTAATCCAACTTTGGAGACCATTGAGGAAAAGTAATAGAATAAAAATGCATGTATCAATAATGATTTTGATTAAAAAAAGAAACCTTCTGTTTAATGATTTTCATTTGATATAATGGACATAAGTAATTATACTTGAGGGTTGTAAATCAAGCAATAATATTTTAAAATTTATATTTGGAGTCAAATTGAGATTTTATTGCAGACAATATATTTTGCAAAGAATGAAAACTAAAGATGGCATTTAAAAATATACATAAACATGGTCTATAAAAAAGTAATTTGGAAATTTACATTTTAGAAGATATTAGTATCTTCAATATAATAATAAAGCACAATATTGCCACTATATAGTATATAGAAAGCTGTTTGCCCACTCTCTCTACTTTGTACAAGTGGTTGTTTTTCAGTATGAACTGGTGTTGTTCAGATGTTTTTTGATACTCTTAGTAGAACTGGGCATTGGCAAGAATTAGGCAAATTTCACTGCCCTGAATTTTCACTAGTGTAGTAAGCTAGCAGTAGTCCGAAATGTGATGTACTTTGTGGGCTAACTCAAAGTAGATGGCACTATTTCCTGCCACTAATACTTTACTTTGTCATTATAATCTTTAGCAGTGAGATTATGTTTACTAGGTTTTATGATACTGTGTTTGAGAATACAGCCAAAGGTTTGAAAGTTAGTGCCAAATTTTTTTTGGTTTGGTTGGGTCTTTTGGAGAACAGGAAGAGGGAAATAGGAGTGGCAATGAAGAAAGATTTCTAAAAAGTGCATTTTTGTTTGTTTGTCAGAAATTTTTATTTATTTAAAGAAATAACATTGGTTATTGATTAGACATATATCATTATGGTTTAGGGTATGAGATATAGAGTCCAATGTGGTATTATTAGTTTAATGTGTATCTTCTTGTGGCAATAGTGAACAGTTTCAAAAGATGAATACATATTTTAAAGGGGGAGAATGACATAGCATTTTTAACCTTTTCACGCCAGGAATTGCTGTGTGTGGATATCTGTGTGCTGAGTCAAAGAGGCTTAGGCTTTTTTGTTAGAAACGTAATTGTAATAAAGTACCATGTAGTCTCAGAATTCTGTCCAACAAGGTACTACTTGCTTAAGTCTATAACCTGTCAGCTTCTTTTCCAGAATTATACACACATATAGATCCTTTACACGTTCTAACTTGAGCCTACACTAAAATTGGAATTCAGAGAAACACCCAAGACTGCTCTGGTATCTGGTACCTACAAAAGGAATTGCATTTATTTTCTTTCATTGTTGTGAACTTCAAATCTCAGGACCCGGTAGTTGAGATTTAAAAGATAAAAAGTTTAACATTACTGTTCTAAATTCATTACCATTCACCTCTCTTAATCTAGAAACACATGGAAAATAGAAGAATATCTGATAATCCAAACAGCTTTGACATACTGAACTGATGTTAGTGCTATGGTCTGAATGTTTGTGTCACCCCAAAATTCATATGTTGAAACTTAATCCCCAATGCAGTGTTATGAGGGAGGGGGACATCTAAGAGGTGATGAGCTCATGGTATTTTTGCTCTCATATAAAAGACCCCAAAGAGCTTGCTTATCACTTCTGACATATCAAGAAACATAGAAGGCACTATCTATGAGGAATAAGCACTCACCAAACACTGAATCTGCTAGTCCCTTGATCTTGGACTTCCCACCATCCAATAAATTTCTGTTGTTTATAAATTACCCAATGTAAGATACTTTGTTATAGCAGCCCAAATGAACCATGAGAGTTGAAAAGTCAAAAAAGAATTATTTATGAAAAAAGAATAGGTAGAAAGAATTGGAAAATATCTTAGACAACTGGCATGTATTGCAGCTAAAAGAAATACAATACCTTTGTTTAGAAAGGCTTGACTACCCATGAGTCTACGTCACAGGTGAGCAACCATCCTTTTAGTAATTACTGTAATTAAAAGATATTTCATGCCTTAGCTTAATGTATTTCCCGTGTTAATAGATCTTTTCAGCCTGACCTGAGTACAGATCACAAGCCACTAATATGTATGGTCTGCTTCAAAAACTAAGGACAAGAAAATCTATTTTCTATAGTTTCAGGCATGCAAAACTGAACAGACTGTCTTAAATGGAATTGGTTTTCTCAGGGAGGTCTCTCCCTTTTATGGATTTCTTTGGATCCTTCCTATATGATCCATTTCACTTTTTCCAACACCTGTATAGTTCTCAGAGCAGAGTAGCTATGTAATAAATATTTACTGAATTGAAATGGAATGAAGTTTTTAATTTTATGATAAATTTAAATAGGTTTTCTCCTTGTCTTTATTGACACATATGTTATACAAAAAGTGTCAAGTTTTATGTATCAATATACGTTAAAAAAAACACAATTTCTGAGTTGATAGGTAATCTAGTTCAATATATACAATAAAGCAATCTTATGTGTTTCTTTGTTGTTGTTGTTGTTGTTTTTGTTTTGAGATGGAGTCTCGCTCTGTCACCCAGGCTGGAGTGCAGTGGTGCAATCTCAGCTCACTACAACTTCTACCTCCCGGGTTCAAGCGATTCTCCTGCCTCAGCCTCCCAAGTAGCTGGGACTACAGGCAGGTGCCACCACGCCTGGCTAATTTTTTGTATTATTAGTAGAGATGGGATTTCACCATGTTGGCCAGTCTGGTCTAAAATTCCTGACCTCAGGTGATCTGCCTGCCTTGGCCTCCCAAAATGCTGGGATGACAGGCATGAGCCACTGTGCCCGGCCAATCTTATGTGTTTCTGAAAGTTAAAATGTTCTTGCTCTTTTTCTTTTCTTTCAAGAGAGAAAAAAGTTTATTTTGCCACAGAAAATACAAAGTGATTCCGTGTTCATGGGAGGAATTCATAATTCAGGCTCTTATTTTCACACTGCCTTTCAACAACACCTACGCCACCTAGAATAATAATGTGCTAAGCTGCAGTGCCTGCAAAGTATTTCAATAAAAGAAGGAAATTATTTTCATAATTACTACTAAGTTCTTAATTTGTTCTGCTAAATGGTAAATCAGCCATAGTTAGTGAAAGAAGCAATTCTTGTGTGTTGATATTACAGGTTTAGAAAAGGAGGTTTGCAGTTGTCTTGAAATACTGAAGAATGATAATTTAATTTAAGAAGACAAAGGGTTAATTAGTGGAAGTTCTTTGAATCTCCACAGAGGAAGTACTGCATTGCTTTCTGATATTTAAAATGCTCAGTAAAGTCATTTACAGGTTTCTACTATTATTGGAAGTAGACAGCAGTATTTTCTAATGAATTGTATTGCAATGTGTCTGCAGGACAGAAATCAGTTCAAACTATAATTAAACTTGTTAAACTTGTCAGAAATATTAACATGAGATATATATTGAGACCTACTTTGAACACAGGCATAATTATTGACTTTATAAAGAAAGAGTACTATTTCAGATGTTTTCATGATGAATGTCAATTAGGTGCTCATAAATTGTATATTAAAGGGAAAATTTTTGAATGAGTGAATATTTATATAATTTTTTTCTGAGCTAATCTTTCCCTTGCAGGATACCTAGAAATACATGGACACTTCTTAGCCTCTATTGTTAGGGTTAAGTAAATTATTGATTCACTAATATATCTCATTATCCAGCATCACTGGAAAATAAAAAAATAAAAACTTATTGCTGATAAAGGAATTTCCAGTTAAGTGAGCTTATCTCTTTTATAACCACTTTACAATTCTACTTATTTAATTTATCTTTGTAGGATGTACTTCACCTCCTGTACTGTGAGCATGGTCCAGGCTGAGATAATGCTGCTGCCCTAGAGCTCTGGTTCTTTCTCTACCAAGTAGGAGCATCTCTCAATCTTGACACTGCAGGGTGTTAAGCAGCATACCTGGCTTCCACCCACTGGATGCCAGTAACTCTCCTGACCCTCTTAGTTGTGATGGCCAAACATGTCTCCAGATATTACCAAATGTTCGTGAGGGTGGGGAGAGGCAAAATCACCCCAGGTTGAGAACCATTGATATAGGGGAACTTGTTGAAAATTCAAATTTTTGCCCCCAACTTAGAATAACAACCTCTTGGAGCTATGTAAGTACTGTGTGCATTTTTGTTTTTCTATTTTATTTTGTTTTTTAGCAAGGTAAACTTTCCAAGTGGTTATAACACATTAAATTTGAGAATCATTATTCAAGTAGCCTTCTCTGCTTTTCATTTTCTAAACTTCTATTACCTAGGTGCAAATCAAATAGCTAAACTGAGTGTGTAACCTTAATATTACATGTATTTCAGTTATGTGGGTTATTCAATACCTCATCTCCAAGAAAGTGCCTGGACTATGAGGTCATCGCCTTCTTTAGTATCTCTGGGACCTTGTCTGTTGTTGAGCCTGTTTGGAAACTTGGCTGCAGTAAATTTGACTGTAATAATGTCCTGTGCATACCAAAATGATGAGTGATGTCATTGGACAGGCTATCCTTTGGCTGAAAGTGCACTATGGCCTTGCTTTCCAGTATATGTAATGAATTTTCCCAGACTAATCAAATAAATAACAACCATAGTGGATGAGGACATAGCCATTTACTCATTCACTTTTTCACACACTCATTTATTCATTTATTATTTGATTCTTTCATGCATATATTTATTCAAGAACCATTCATTGGGTACCCAAAATGTTGGTACTGGGGACACAAATAGTGAACAAGGTATAGGACTTGTAATCTGTAGGGGAAATGTTAGATATGCGGCCACAAAGTCAAATAAAGATCATGGTTTTCATTAGCAAAGGGCTATACCTGAGCTAATTAGCTATGAAAGGTTAATTAACAACTTACCTATTCAGCAAAAGAAATAATATCTTGATCGTTTGGATTGTTTGGATTGATTGCAACCATCATGCAATGCCTAATGGTTGCCCCAATCACAGTTAATGCTATAGGGGAAATAAGCTTTACAGTGCTATAAACATATTGCCCATATTCTCACTATTAGAAAGAAGAAACTTTCCTGAAATTTGATTAAATTAATGGTTTAATTTCAGGCATAAAAGTATATTTAAAAATGCCTTCCAAAATGAACAGACACTTCTAAAAAGACATACATGCAGCCAATAATCATATGAAAAAAGGTTCAACACCATTGATCTTTAGAGAAATGTAAATCAAAACCACGTGAGACACCATCTAACATCAGTCAGAATGGCTATTACTAAAAAGTCAAGAAATAACAGATCCTAGCGAGGTTGTGGACAAAAAGGAATGCTTATACACTGTTGATGGGAGTGTAAATTCGTTCAGCCATTGTGGAAGACAGTGTGGCAATTCCTCAAAGACCTAAACACAGAAATACCATTTGACTCAGCAATTCTATTACTGGATATATACCCAAGGTAATATAAATCATTTTATTATAAAAACACATGCATGAGTTTGTTCATTACAGCACTTTTCACAATAGCAAAGACATGGAATCAGCCAAAGTGCCCATCAGTGATAGACTGGATAAAGAAAATGTGGTACATATACACCATGGAATACTATGCAGCCATAAAAAAGAATGAGATCATGTTCTTTGCAGGGACATGGATGGAGCTGGAGGCCATTATCCTGAGCAAACTAACACAGGAACAGAAAACCAAATACCACAGGTTCTCACTTCTAAGTGGGAGCTAAAGGATTAGAACACATGAATACATAGAAGGAAACAACACATACCGGGGTCTTTTGGAGGCTGGCGGGTGGGAGGAGGGAAAGGATTAAGAAAAACAACAGTAGGTACTAGGCTTAATATCTGGGTGATGTATAGAATACAAGAAACCCCCATGATACAAATTTACCTAATTAACAGACCTGACTTTGTACTCCTGAACTTAAAATAAAAGTTAAAAAGTAAATAAATAAAAATTAACCTTCCATATAGTCTATTAATTTTAAATAAAAATCATGTTAAATGTTTGGAGTATTTTTGACATGATTAAAAAAATGTATAAAAATAACTTTTAATTATAAAGTTGGAAAATAATGTTTGAATGAGCCATCTGTTTAAGTTCCTCCAAAGCCTGTTTCTCTATAAGCAGTCTGCAAATGTGGCCCCTCTTCCTGAGCCCTAGATTTCCATTTTTTAAGCTTCATCAGAGATTTCAACAGTTAAACCTTTTCTCTCCAGCTTCTTCAGTCTTGGCCTCCAGAGACTTCTTCACCTTTGTTAGCAAAGATTCTCCAGTATCTCTTAAAAACAAATAGCCTCCTTTTAACCTATTTAAATTTTGTCATGATCTTCACAGGCTTGAGTCATCTGTCCTATTCTCTTTACCCTTCTTCAAGGTCAATGTCTTGCCTAAAGGAGTACCAGAAACATCTAGTGTTCAGATCATTTCCATTGTCTATTTTGGGGAAAGATAGAAACAGTAAACTGACCCCATATTCTTATTAAATTGTTGATTTGAAGTAACGTTCTAATTAACTTTTCATGAGTTTATGTCTTTCACCAAATAGACTGTAAATTTCTTAGAAATTGAGACTCAAGTTTTATTCATCTTCCAACCCCGTCCCCACCCTATTCCAAACCTGTACCTACCTCTGCACACAGAAAGTTATCCAAAAAGACTTTGGAGATTTGATTTTTTGATAATAATTGTAAGCAACATGTGTGAAAAAGATTTTGTGTGCAAGTTACTGGCTGGGCACTGAGGACATACATATTAATAAACACAGATCCTTCCCTTAAGAAGTTACAGTTAGTGATGAAAACAGGAACGTAAAGAGACGGTTACAGTTAATAAGCAAAAAAGTACATAGAAGGCAGAACCAATCAGACTAGGGGACCCAGGGAGGTCACTCACAAGAAATGATACCTGAATTGGTTTGTGAAGACATTGGACGATTAAATGTTAGGTGGGTGACTGGGGGAGGGAAGGGGGAGAACGTTTTCAAAAAAGAACAAGGAGTTTGTGTAATGGTACAGAAGGTGGTGTTAGAGCACTTACCTTGTTGAGAAAGGAGCCAATGTTTGGTGGAGAGGGGTGGGCAGCCGAGATTCAGGGGTAGAGCAGTAGACAGCCTAGGTTCAGGAGGAGAGGGAGTAGGAAGCCGACATTCAGGGGTGGAAGGGTGAACAGCCTAGGTTCAGTGGAGGAGGGGTGGGCAGCCTAGTTTCAGTGGACTGAGGAGGATAGCCTTGGTTCAAGGAAGAGCGGGGTGGGCACCCTAAGTTCAGAGATAGAGGGGACTGGAAGCCTACGTTCAGGGGTACAAGGATGGGCAGCCTAGGTTCATGGAGAGAAGGGTGGGCAAAACAGGCTAAGGGAGAGAGAGGTGGGCAGCCTGCGTCCAGGGAATTGAGGTAGCCAGCCTTGGTTCAGCGGGAGAGGGTTGGGCAGCCTAGGGAAAGGGATGGGGTGGGCATTCTAGGTTCAGTGGTAGATGGGTGTGTTTTCTAGGTTCCAGAGGGGAGGTAGTGGGCATCTTAGATTCAGGAGAGTCATGTAGCCTGGGTTCAGGGGAAGAGAGGAATGTGCAGCCTCAGTTTAAGGAGGAGATAGACAGCCTAGGTTCAAGGGATAGGGTTTGGGCAAACTTTGTTCATAGATAGAGTGGTTGGGCAGCCTAGGTTCAGGGGGATATGGGGTTGGGCAGCTTAGGTTCAGGGGGAGAGGGGCGAGAGGCCAAGGTTCAGGGAAAGAGAGGGATAGATAGCATAGGTTCAGTGGGAGATGGGTGGGGAGCCCAGGATCTAGGGAGTGGGGTGGGCAGCCTGGGTTCGGGGGGATATAGGGTGGGAAACCTACGTTCAGGGGCTAGTAGGTGAGCAGCCTAGGTTCAGGGAAAGAGAGGGTGTGACAGCCTAAGTTCAGGGGGATAGGAGTGGGCAGCCCAAGTTCAGCAGTAGAGGAGTGAGCTGCCCCAAGATGCAAAACTCATGAGAACTAGAGATGTAAGAATCGTAAGACCTGTGTTTGCTTTGCTAGGGAGTTTGTACTTTTTCCTAACAGTTATAGAAAGCTGTAAAAATTATTTAAATCAGAGAAAAGTACAAGGAATTATTGTTTTTAAAAATATAACCTTAAGGTAGTGATGGGGAAATTGAACTAGAGTGATTGACTGCAGGCTGGAAACTGTACTGATGCTCTTACAGGAATCCAGGAAGGCAGACAGTCAGCTGTTTGCACAGTGGAGGCAAGGTGAAGAGAGGTGGACAGGTTAGAGAGGTGTCTACTATGACCGAAACCAACAGACTTTGGTGGACAACTGGACATGAGGCAGAGGGAAGGAGAAAAGTTGAGAATGAGTCTCAGGTAGGTCTGATCAGAGGGTCTGTACAACACCTTCTCCATGCACACTCTTATTCTATTCTGGCAGGAAATTTAATTGGTGCATTTTGATTAAACTTCCAAATTGATGGCTCTCTTATGCTCTGACTTGTAATAATTGAAATGATTAAAGATGTAGTTTCTTCTTTCCAAAGCTTTTCACTTATCAGTTGCTCCTGTTTTATTGAGAAAGGTGCTTGTAGTGATGTTATATTAAGCCAAACTACTTTCTGATTTGGTTCAAACAGACTAACACACAAATGCTAATTAATATTTAGCATTTAGATATCTGTATCCAAATTAAATTGGCACCCAGAGGATGAAAGATTGAATTATTCAGCTGCTGTTGAAAGCTATATGTCATACCGTGTTTACAATTGTAGTTATCAGAAGTCGGCTTTCATTATTCTACCAAATGTGTTTATTTTCTCATAGAGCATTCAAATCTTCATGGTTGGCTATCTATATAGAAGATAATATTAAAGGTTTTAAACTTGAACAATTTATATAAAATAAAAAAATTAAAATCTCTAGTCAGATAATGTCATTTAAGGGCCATTTTTGGATGCCTTCCCATATGCAAAGATACTACCAATGTAGTATCTTTTGCATGTGTTCCCATATGCAAAGATCAACCATTTCTGAAGCAGAATGCTTATTTAGATCATTATAAAATGAAACTGCACACTTTTAAGATGGCTTAAAATAACACAAGTTACATCATAACTTTGACTTAAGCTACGTGAAGAGAACAAAAGATATGGACCTAATAGAAGGCATCAGTGTGACCTTTGTGCTTTAGGACTTTTTCAAGCACAGAACAATTTGAATCCCTCTTGAGTGTGTATTCCTTTGTTCCAATTATTCCAAGTCAGAATTAATAAACCCCAAGTAATTGAATGGTCTTATCATTTTCTGTAGGTTGCTTTTTACATGTGTCTCCCACAATGTCTGCAGGTTATTCTAACATTTAAAAAGCTGGATTAAATGGTAGGAATATGTAGAAAAGCAGCAGATTTACTGAATTGTTTTTGAAATTTCTAATTGTTTTGAAGTAGCAGCCACAATGGGAAAACTTGATCATGGGAGGCCTTCAACAGAAGAGAGTTCTGAACCAGATTTTGTAAAGATAGAGTGCTCTGTGTCCACACAGATGGAGAGGAGCATGGGGGGCAGGGGGCAGGGGGCAGGGGCATGGCTGGCAGTGGCTTATATGTGGAGGAAAGCATCATAAAGTTCTTTAAAGGCACACCCAACATATTTAGTTAGTGAAAATAATGAAAATGAAGCTGGTAAGGCAGGGAAGACTGGTTAGCAAATGATATTAAAGTCCAGGCTAAAAAGCTGGGGTTTAGCAATGTAAGATTTTTCCGTTTATCACGTGTTCTAATAACTTTGTCTGTCTGGAAGAAAATGCAGTGCTTTGGGATATTTTTACATTGTATTTCATGAGTTCTGTCGATATAAAAGACATTAAGTGACAAAGTAATCACAAAGTGGTTTTCAGAAATAGGCAAACTGAGATGCGTACTGAAATGTATTGCTTCAATATCACATGATAATACAACATACACACACGCACATGCACGCGTGCACACACACACACACAACCCTCTTGCTTGTTTGTACTGTTGTATTGCATATGAAATTTCTAAAATTTCTTCATGTCCTAGGATTATCACACTGGTTTTAACAATTTCTTTGATAATATTGTATAGGTTCAGAGCAGATATAAATAATGAGCAATAATCTAATGTAAGACCAGAGGCCTAGAATACCTTTAAAGACAATTAAAAATCAGCACTTTTATTCATGGTTCTATATCAGATGTTTCTGTGGCTTACATTTCATTTTTTTAGTGCAGATTTCCATTTCTTCCTGGAACTTTGAAAATAATTCAGTTGAAGTGTTTTAAAATGACAAGGTCTGGAAGTCCCTTTAGTTCATAAATGAATATTTTAGCTTTCCTAATTTTTCACCACTAACTGTTATATTCAAAGGTTTAAAATTTAATTTACCATTTTTATATTGTGATGCCTAAGATCAGGTTTTAAAACCAACCCAGGTCTCAAAGCTACGTGGACTTGCTTTAATTAAAGACAATTGTATTGTGTCCAAGAAAGAGGGTTTTTATTGTTTTGGGTTTTTTTTTTTTTTTGCTTATCTTTATTAAATGCATCATCTTCTATATGCATCTATTATGCCCATCCAGATTTTTCCTGAGATCAAGAAAACCATTAACAATTATGTTAACTATTTGATGCCACTAAAATACTTATAAATAAAAACTTCCCTGAATATTAGCTCCCCCATTGTCCTATTTTTAAAAGTGTCTAAGGAGTTACCTGGTTAACTTAAAAGTGGGTGTTTTTCCTGACCCCCAAGTCACTATAATCTTGCTCATAGTTTGTGCTTAACTTTTTTTCTTATCAAAATCTGTTTCCAGTTCTTTCTACTGATATGACCCTGTTCTCATAGCTGCTAGTCAGTTTTAAGTCACCGGTATACCCTGCCCAAATATGGTAGGTCTCAGCTTCACTGTAGAAGATGACAATACCTTTCTGACCTCTTTAAGTGCTTCATTTGATCTTGGGGAGCAGTTCAGGCATTCAGAGGTTTTTCTCATGTGTTTCAACCACACTACACACTGCATTTCAAGTGAAATGTGAAGTGAACCTCAAGGTCTCTCAGGAATCCAAATGGAATTTGCATTGAGTCTTTGAAAGAAAGTGAAATCACATTTTCTCTGTGAGTTAGCTATTTGAATTCCTGCTTTATATAAATAGTAGAAGCTGACCCTGATGTCCTCTAACATTAAAGTAAAAGAGGACATTAAGAAAGAGATTTCACTTTAAAAGCTGTAGCTGGTAATGAGAACTAAATACTACAGTCTGTTTCATTTTATCTTTGGGAATGTTCAATAATATTTAAAGAAAGGTCGTGTTGATGCCACTTATCACATCATGAGATTAGCATATCTATGACTCAGGTCGAGCTATACATGATGACCAACTTAATAAGAATAATACAAATGTATCTCTGGTTTTAAACATTTCCAATGAATGGCAATATTACTAAATGAACAGCTCTAAGCCACATGTCTTCACTTAAAGAAAGTATTTTTTAACTATCTGCTAGATCTTGGATGAATTAATTAACTTTTGCTGAAAGTATACTGCATTTTTGGTGATCTTTGAGGATTACAATTCCTCTGGTATCATTAAATAAGAAGGATTTTCTGGGTACAAATGCAATATATCTAACCATTCATGTCTAAGTGCTTGAGACAATTTGTCTCAATAGATTCTACTTTTCTATATGGTAGTAAGAATAAGTAAATTCCAAAGTCATCTCTAACACTAACATAACCACATGTTTTCCTTAAAGCTACATTCTGGAGCTATTGCATAATAAAATAATGAATATATATTGAATATACATATATGTATGTCTCTGTGTATATGTGTGTGTATATATGTGTGTGTGTGTGTGTGTATATATGGCTATATGGCTGCTGCAGACATTGGAAAAACCTAGACATATCAAACACTTTGGAAGTGATTCCTAAAATTATTTTAATAAACAAATATATTCATCATAGCTGGAAAATTATAGTCTTCCTTCAAGAGACACAAGGAAAATGGTACAGATTTTTAATGTAAACATTTATGAGTTATTTTAAATGAAAAGAAAAAGTAAAAACATAATTATGTTAGTATGAAAACCAGATATTCTGTGGCTCTATTTACACAAGTGGATTTAGATAATTTAGGTAAAAAATAGGTTATTTTCTTGAATTACCCAGTGAATGATTTCTGACAAACTGCCTCAGCATTGCAAGTAATTTTCTGATTCTCTGTTTCACTCTGTGACACACACATAAAACCAATTAAAATAGTGCAGCTTACCTGAGTTTTACTACTTTGATCATAAACTCCTGGCTTCAAGCCATGCTCTCTTCCTGCCTTGGCCTCCTAAAAGTGGTGGGATAACAGGTGTGAGCCATTGCACCTGGCCCTGTTTTACTACTTTGAATATCAGACATAAATCACCTACTTCAAGTATTATTAATTTGGGACTCTATGAAAACAGAAAAATATTTTTTGAGAATGAGTGAAGCCACACTATGAGCTATAAACTTATTATGTATTAACTTGAGATGTTATGGGCTCCCAACTAATGACTACTGTATTAGTCCATTTTTACTCTACTATAAAGAACTACCTGAGACTGGGTAACTTATGAGGAAAAGAGGTTTAATTGACTCACAGTTCTGCAGGCTTGACAGTATGCATGAATGGGAGACCTCATGAAACTTACAATTATGGCAGAAGGTTAAGGGGAAGTGCCACACTTTTAAACCATCCGATCTCATGAGAACTCACTCACTATCATGAGAACTGCAAGGGAGAAATAACACCCCATGATCCAAATGCCTCCTACCAGGCCCTTCCTCCAATTCGACATGAGATTTGGACAAGGACACAAAACCAAACCGTATCAATAAACTGCTTATTTTACTTAAAGAATCTGAAATAACACTGTATTATTAACACCAGGTCATTAAAGAAAGGACTTTTTTTTCATATGAAATGATAACCTTTTAAAATTCAAATAAAAAATTATTATAGCTATCTTAAAATGTCACGAGTTGTCTTAATTTTTCTGATTTTATCCCATTTCAATGAAAATTTTATCAGTGCCAACTAATTCTCTGAGAACTGGTATTTGAGAAGTTCTTAATTCTTAGTTAAAATTAATTTTAAATAGCTACCTCTATGAAAATATGTGTGTGAAATTTTGATACTAAAGTCAAGTTCCTTCCAGTGGTTCATACTGAGGGTGTTCATACTCCCCAGGGGACATTTACCAGTGTCTGGAGACATTTTTGGTTGTCACCACTAGGGTGGGGATGCCACTGACATTTAGTAGGTAGAAGTCTGAGATGCTGCTATCTAACCTACAATGTGTGGTCCAATTCCCCCACAGCAAAGAATTATCTAGTTCAAAATGTCAATAGTGAGAAGGCTGAGAAACTCTTTTAAACCCTTTTTAAAGTTAAACCTAAAGAACTGGTAAGTTTGTAAAGTCACATTGACTAAGAGAGTATCAGCTTCTGTTCTGATTGAGCCTAAATTTATCTGCTTTCTCTGTCTTCAGATCTCCTAAAACTTACCTACCTCCTGTGCTAATTTCCTTATATGTATGACAATTATGTGTTTCAGAGACTCCTGCTATGTTACTGTCAGCAGAAAATTCTTCTCATTTGCTTATGCATGAGTACAAAGTTTCTTTTAAGTGAAACCTCTATCCATAGTGTCCTAGGGAAGCCTTGGTCCTTTTCAACATCTTCTAAAAACACAATGGCCTTTCTTGCTCCTCAATGTGCTTCACTTGCTACTTACTATTAAGTGCTTGTTGATTAATTCTACCCAAAATATAAACACTCTGAATACATTTGCGTTTAACAAATGGGGCTCAAGATGAAAACAGACTTCCTTCATTCTCATAGGGCAGAATGAGGTCTTCATCACTACAGTGTAATGCTATGCACTGGGGCAAGACAGTCCAAGGGGTGATTACATTTAATCATTCCTCACCCAGTATTATGTAACCTGTACCAAGTGAGCCAGGCTTAATGCCATTACTCACAGAGATTTACATATAGAATATGAAGTTTTAAGTCCTTTGTTTCTTTATATGAATATTTGTGGCTCTTATATAAATATTCCTAAAGAACAAGCTCTGAAAAAGTGGAATAATTCCAAATGTTGAAAATAGTTTTGGACTCTATTTTGCAAGTGTTAACAGGTTTGGACACATCAGTCATTTACACTTAAACAAATTAACTCATAGTATTTCCTATGAAAAACAACTCCCACTGGTCTCTCTTTAGATATTATTTAACTTTTATTAGATGTGCCCATTTGCAAGGGAATATTTCTGTATGTGTTTCTTGTTTTAGTGCAGAATTTTCTGTAAATCATTCGGTCTACATCTATAACTTTTAAATATATTTTATATATTCACGCTTTCTATTAATCTTCTTACTTTTTGGTTTTGACTTTTTTCCCCTTTACATTTTGTGAAACACTCATATACAGGGTTATAACTGGATACAAAATAACTAAAAAATAAAAATCAAAAAACATATGTTCCAATCCATAAAATGTTCACTAGGAAAATATTGTCATGAAAATGAATTCTATAAAAGTTATAAGAGAGACAGAGATAAAAAGAGGAGAGGAGAAAAGCAAAAACTAAGTTCTCCCATTTTGTAATTAGTAACTGGAAAATTTTTACTCAAATGTAACAGCTGACCTTCTCCCATATTAAATGCTTTTTGGCTGTATGGGTCAATGGGAATACAAGAAGACCTAACCTTGGTCAGAGATTGGCTTTGTATTTCAAATAAGATCATGCCCTGATACTATTCCAATTGCTAGAAGTTTTTCAAAAGACAACTTAAAAATATGTATAATAATTCCAGAAAGGTAATTACTGTTAAATTTTTACCCTTTAAAGCCTTTAAATTCAGTTTTGTTCTTAGAAATAGGGTAGATTTAATAGACGGAAGGAAAAAAAAGACAAAGGAAGGAAGGAAAGAAGGAAGGAAGGAAGGAGGGAGGGAGGGAAGGAAGGAAGGAAGGAAGAAGGAAGGGAGGGAAGGAAGGAAGGAAGAAGCGAGGGAGGGAAGGAAGGAAGGAGGGAGGGAGGGAAGGAAGGAAAGGAGGGAGGGAGGGAGAAAGGGAAGGAAGGAAGGAAGGAAGGAAGGAAGGGAGGGACACTTGGAGCCCATTAATGTGCAGTTATGATCCTGGAAGCCATAGGGTAACGCATTTCCTAAATATTAAAATAAGATTTTATGTCCTACATTTTCCCCAGATTAAGAACACTTAACCTTACCACTCTTTAGTGGTTTCTGTGATGTCTAACAACCCCTGCCCAACCCCCAAACACAAGTAATAAAGTGCTTGTATAAAATGCTTCCAGAGTGAAAAACTGCTCAAATGAATAGTATGATTCAGTAAGGGTTAACGCATATAGCATGTATGGATTGCTGGTCTTCCGAGCTCTATAATGTAGTGAAATAAAAATTTGCCTAAATTTTATCTTAAAACAGTTCTATCTCTTTGTTTTTACTTAGACATTTATTTTGAGAAATGGAGTACTATTAAGGCTTTAAATGCAAATATTAGATACAGTAAGTATCGTGTGTGTGTGTGTGTGTGTGTGTGTGTACTGCAGAACAGTGAGCAAAAAAGGAGAATACAAGAAGCTGAATTGAATTTACACAAAACTGACAAACCCTGGAAATTGCTTAGTTTTTATTTAGGCTTTTATTTGCCATTTATATATTTCTTATAAAAATAGACTGTGAAAGACATAAATTTTAAATTATATTTACTTTTTTACCATATTATACAGAAACATTTTATGATATGTCCTATATACAGGACACTGTTCTAAATCTTTGTGTGTGTGAGTGTGTGTGTGTGTATGACATGTAATCTCATAAAGCCCTATAGGATAGTATCATCCCTGTTTTACACAATAGGAAATGAAGCACAGAGAGGTATAAAATTTTCCCAATACCACTAAGCTGGTAAGGGTAGAATAGGATTTGAACTCAAACAGTCTATTCTGGCATGAATACTATATTGCCTCCTAATATATTAAGACTCTCGGCCGGGCTCAGTGGCTCACACTTGTAATCCCAGCACTTTGGGAGGCTGAGGCGGGCGGATCACGAGGTCAGGAGATCAAGACCACGGTGAAACCCCATCTCTACTAAAAATACAAAAAATTAGCCGGGCGTGGTGGCGGACGCCTGTAGTCCCAGCAACTCGGAGAGGCTGAGGCAGGAGAATGGCGTGAACCCGGGAGGCGGAGTTTGCAGTGAACAGAGATGGCGCCACTGCACTCCAGCCTGGGCGACAGAGCGAGACTCCGTCTCAAAAAAAAAAAAAAAAAAGACTCTCCATCTTAAAAACATATAAATACAAAATTTGCATAGTCACTTTGAAACCTTTGCATCCCAATCATTTTAATTCGCTGTAGTGAACCTAGAAAAGTGAGCCCAAGCAGCAGACACATTTTCTGAAATTTTTATAAATAGCATTAAGTAAGTCAGTATGGTGAGTACCCTAGAATGAGCGTGGAAACATATTTCAAATATGTGTATGTTTGTACATTTTAAATGTTTTTAATGTACATCTAAAACTCCTTTTAAGAAAGACCAACTTTTATGTTTACTGTGTTTCAGCTTTTAAGAAGCAGCTGTTTAAATACATGGCATTAGGGATCAGGGGTTGCTGGCATTGTGATTGAGGCCACATTCCCTGAGCTAACGGGGAGCAGAGGCATTCATGTCATTCTGAGTACAGGGTGATGTGAATGGATCAGTGAGCAGCAGGGCCACCAAGGTAGAACTGGCGGAGCCCAAGTGAAAAATAGAGCATCAGTAATTTTATACTGATTTGTTGGTAGAAAAGAGTCTACCTAGTGCCACATCTGATTTATGGAACAAATTGGACTTGTAATGAGTCCAGATACAACTGACCTCTTTGAAAGGAAGTCACAACCTTTTTTTGATATACTTCATGTATATACTCATGAATACATTATCACTATGCAGCTATTTCATTTTATTCTGCAACTCATTTTTATGGTTAGAGTTATTCTAATTTTGTTGTAAGAATAGACAACCATAGAATCAAAAGTGTAATTTACTTCATTCTTTTACTGCTCCGTTCATGCTGAGTATTTTGTTTTGTATATTCCTTCTCATGACAACAATGCCAAAAGAAAAACTATGCTTGGAATGAACTTGTTACCATGGTAATCTCAAAATTAAAGTTTCAAAGTGTTCAAATGTTGCCCTCAAAAAAAAATCACAAATAAAAATCTACTCAGTTTTGTAAGGTGGATGGCATAACCCTTGTTGCAGCATGTACATAATGACATTCACCTATCTTGAACTTTAGAGAGAGTCCAAATGTTTCTGGTGTACTGAAATTCTGTTTAGTTCAGTTGAAATAAATGGGTTATAACTATGCAATTGCTACAGTATTTGCTGAAATGAAATACCATGTCAATATATAAAGAGAAGCTCATTTTCATCAAGCAAAGTAGACATCAAAAAAACTATTTTATATAGCATTGCTTAGACAACCAAATTAAACAAGTAATTTTTGTAGATTTAATTATGTATGTCATAACTAGAGTATGCCAACTTTCTGTCTCAATAATCACATTTTAAAAATATATTGATTAAGGAAAAAAAGAAGTCTCATTTGCCAGTGAACCTTTGGATATTTATTAAGATAATTTATGGCTTTAATCCAATTTTTAAAAATCTTTCATCTATCTTAAAGTGGCTTCAAGATTTTAAACTCTTTCCTGTGGCTTTTATCTTTAATTTTATCCTGTAGTGAATTGTAAAAGTAATGAACAAGGGCAATTGGATGACTCCTCTTACATATACACTCAGGAAAGCTCTCAGTCATCTATATATCCAAATTTGTGTAAAATATATTTGTTATTATATTCATTATTATAATATTATTATATTTATTTTATAAAGTCACATATATTAAGATAGAAGCATTTCTGTTTAAAAATTATCAGGCAGTGACAGTAGGAAAACTTGTAGGCAAGCTAATTAACAACTAGATCCTTCCTATCATTCAAGGTTTTCACGGATGCTCTCAGTATTTAAATTATACATTAATATTGTTAGGCACTGAATAATCATCTATTCTGAAGTTGGAATTTTTGTTTGTATCGTAGATTCCATTAAACTTTAGTTTTTAATTTTTTTTTATTATTATACTTTAAGTTTTAGGGTACATGTGCACATTGTGCAGGTTAGTTACATATGTATACATGTGCCATGCTGGTGTGCTGCACCCACTAACTTGTCATCTAGCATTAGGTGTATCTCCCAATGCTATCCCTCCCCCCTCCCCCGACCCCACAACAGTCCCCAGAGTGTGATGTTCCCCTTCCTGTGTCCATGTGATCTCATTGTTCAATTCCCACCTATGAGTGAGAATATGCGGTGTTTGGTTTTTTGTTCTTGCGATAGTTTACTGAGAATGATGGTTTCCAATTTCATCCATGTCCCTACAAAGGACATGAACTCATCGTTTTCTATGGCTGCATAGTATTCCATGGTGTATATGTGCCACATTTTCTTAATCCAGTCTATTATTGTTGGACATTTGGGTTGGTTCCAAGTCTTTGCTATTGTGAATAATGCCGCAATGGTTCAGGATAGAGCTTAACTTCTGCTTGTGAAATTTTAGTTTAGAATTTTTGTTTTATTAGATTTTTTCAACATTTTAATAAAAATGTATAGGCAAATGAAATCATGTAAAGAATATGTTGCTCTTTTCTATAATATAGTATGGGAAGCTGTCACTTCTAACCAACTACTTTTGTGGTAAGAAAACAAAGAGTAACACTGAAAACACAATATGTGTTTCAGTAAAAATTTTCCTATTTGCTCAATAATTCAATATTTATTATCATATTTCATGGTAATACATTTCTGGAAGTTTATTTAAAAATTTATATTTAAACAATTAATTTGTAGTCTGCTCCAAGGAAGTTTCAAAAACATATGTGTATTATGTTTTACTGTTTCATTATCATCTGTTCATTTTCATCCAAAAGATATTTTTCTTGTGATTGGGAGACACCGGATATCATAATCAACATACAAGTTTTATGCTTTTGATAATATTTGAAAAGTGTTTTAACATTGTAGTTTATAGCAAATGACTTAATAATTGATCCTCAAGTAAGTGAAGTGGAAGGTTACTCAATACTAATGGTAGTAGGCAATATAGAATGGATGTTTGGTAGATACAACTTGTGCTCCACAAACTCTCAATTGCAAGAAATGTTTCATCATTCATTTTTCTTAAAATCAAATTTCATCTGATTCTGGACGCTTATCCTAGTGAGTTCCCTGGAAATTCCATCTACCATTATTGTACCACCCTTCCCTTTCTCCCACCTTTCCCTCCTGCCCATTTCAGCCTCTAAAATTTCCAGGGATCTAATGAAGACACTTGAGGACTTCCACTGGTACTGACTTCACTTTGGCTGCCATGGATGAGTAGCAGTGCTTCTGCTGCTATTTTGCCCTCCTCCTGGGCATGGAAATTTTTCTCAGAACTTGATTCAGACACATTCGTGTACCATGCAGCTATTTCCCTATTTCCTGCCCTCTCCTACTGTCAGTGTGAGTTCCTCAGGCCTACATCGCCCTCTGCCTCCTTCCTTTTGAAAAGTCTTGCCAGCTGTCTAGTCCAAGCTCATAATTTATCTCTTTCTCTTACCTCTCCCCAAACTCCCAGCCCCGTTTCTGCCAGGGCTAGTATTGCTTCTCAATACTATTGCTTCAGGCTTTTATAAAAGAAAAAACATTTAATATCCCAAAAATCATATAATGCAGTTACTAGTTTTATCTCTCTTTTATGAATGAGGAAATTGAGGGCAGGGCAGATGGAGTAGCATGCCCAAGGCTACAAAGCTAGAAAGTGTCAGAACCCAGATGTGAACACAGCCTAGCACCAGGGAGATCCAGTTACCTTGTTGAATGGGGGAAAACAAATATTAGAATAACATGCGGTGGCTCATACCTGTAATCCCAGCATTTTGGGAGGCCAAGGCGGGTGGGTCACCTGAGGTCAGGAGTTTGAGACCAGCCTCGCCAACATGGTGAAAGCTTATCTCTAGTAAAAATCCAAAAATTAGCCAGGACATGGTGGCTCGTGCCTGTAATCTGAGCTACTCGGGAGGCTGAGGCATGGGAGTCTAAGACAGAAGAATAGAAGAATTGCTTAAACCCGGGAGGCAGAGGCTGCAATGAGCTGAGATCGTGCCACTGCACTCCAGCCTGGGCAACAGGCTTTTTCTGTGAGACTGCGTTAAAAAAAAAAAAAAAAAAAGAAAAGAAAAGAAAAAAGAAAAGAAACTTTGAAGAAAATAAATTTGTTATGTTATTTTATGTTATTTTTATGTTATATTTTTATGTTACATTTATTACTAGTATTTGGCTAAGGCATGCCTGTCCATTCCAACCATGCATTTCCAGGCATATGCTTGTAAAGGAGTACAAGCTGTTTAATTAAACGGTGGTGTATGACAGGTCTAGGTTGAAGTTATATTTCTGCACCTCTATTTTCATTAGGCCTTATTTTTTCTGTCCGTATTAGTACTAAAAATGTAAGAAAATGCATTCGTGTACCCTCCTCCCTTCCATAAGAAAGTAAATCACCTTTTGAAAAGTATCTAAGTAAGTAAAAGCTTTTGCTCCTCAACCAACTTATTTCAATTACCATCACTGGTCAGATCCATTTGTTCACCAGGAGAATTCAATGAATCCAGCAGTTTGCCAGAGGCTTTAATCGTATGCTTTATAGTAAAGCCTGAAAAGGCACTTTCCCCAAGGGACTTGTGTAAAGGACTGAGCTGCTGGGGAAACATTCATCATGAATTATTTGTTTACACTTGCAGTATTTGGTAATGTAGAAATGACCAATGTGCTATTGGCCATGTAAAAGACAAAGGGAATGTCTAAATAACTGAAGGCAAATCACAGCAGGATGTAAACGTGCTTAGAGTCTTCTACTAGGGCAGCATCACGGTGTAATTCCTGACTCTGTGCATATGCAGCATGAAAACCTGCCTAGTAGAAAAAGAAAAATGGAAGAAATTTTGGACCAGTGCCGTTAGTTCACTTGAATATAAATGTAGCCAAATCCTCCAGTCTCTCAAAACTTGCATTACTAGATTGAGGATCTTCATGCCACTATTTTATGTAAATGTATTTAATAACTATCTTCCAAAAAAAAGTCTAAGTAAATCTGTGATGTTCTTTCTAACCAGCAAAACAATAGCCACTATGACTAATCTTTGTTAAGCTTCTGTAAGAGAATTACATGGCATGCGTAAGTGTGATTTCTTATTAATTAGCCTTTTTTAAATAGAAAAAAATTATATTTCTACTTATGTATATGTGCAAGAGATTTTTAAAATCCAGTTTTCTTAAAATTGAAGTTTTTGTTTAGTACAATGAATGTTCAAATAAAGATCACTTTCAAACATGCCATTTTAATATCACATTAGATATACACTAAAATACATGAAAATCATTTATTTATCAAATATTTATTGAGTGCCTAATATGTGCAAATATTATGCAAGGTGCTAGGAGTAAAAGAGTTTTGCTTTTTATATTCCTTCTTTGATTGTAGCTTTCTTATTTAAGAAATCAACCAAGATTGTGTGAATTACTAGCAGTTACAAAATACACTGCAAGTTAGACATGTATTTTTAAAAAATCACTGAGTTAAAAAGTGGTAACCAAAGCATTAGTCACAATAACAAAGACAAGCAGTCAACCTAGGTGCCCATCAGTGGTGGATTGGATAAAGAAAATGTGGTACATATACACCATGGAATACTACATAGCCATAAAAAGAATGAAATCATGTCCCTTGTAGCAATGTGGATGCAGCTAGAGGCCACTATCCTAAGTAAATTAACACAGGAAAAGAAAACCAAATACTGCAAGTTATCACTTATAAGTGGGAGCTAAACATTCGGTACTCAGGGATATAAAGATGGCAACAGTAGACACTTGAGACTACTAGAAGGGAGAGGGAGGGAGGGGGCAAGCGTTGAAAAACCAACTACTGAGGACTGCGCTCAGTACCTGGGATCATTCATACCCCAAACCTCAGTACCATGCAATGAATCTAGATAACAAACCTGCACATGTCCCCACCTTCCGAATCTAAAATAAAAATTGAAAAAAAAAAAAAAGTCAGCCGAAGAAGAACGAACTCTCTTGAATGTCTGAATTATGGAGTAAGTCCTGGGAATCTTAGCTCCAGGTCACAGAAACTATTCAGTCTTTTTCTTTTAGGAGAGACTGTAAAGGCTAAATTTGGCCACGAGACTTCTTCAGTTTCATTGCAAATTCCTCATTGCTATTTCTCTCCCCTTTAAGATTGAGTACGGTGAAGTGGCTAAGGGTTTACCTAAGTTTTCAGATCAACATGGTACAGGCAAATGTGTGGGATATGGAATCAAATAAACTTGAATTTTAATATTAGCTCCATTTGTAAATGGCATGGCAAGCTTCTTGTTTTTTTTTTTTTTCCAAATCTCATCTCTGAAATAAGGATCAGAATGCCTATACAGTGGACTTTGCAAGATTACAAAGCGAACATTATATGCAAAATACTTAACTTCTTTCAGCTTGCAATGCAGGAGTGAGAAAGGCATACACTAAACACCTTATTTTGTGTGTGTGTGTTTGTATGTGTGTGTGATGGCAAATTGTGATAAGGACTAGGATGGTTAGGAACAAGGTGCTATAAAAGAGAAGAATGATGTGGAGATCAAAATTTAGTTTGGGGAATTCAAGAAGACATTTTTTTAGTAAGTAAAATCAGGTTGAGGCTTGGATGACAGGCAAGAGTCATCCAGGAAAAGATTTGGAAAAATGCTGGAAAACTTTTAGGCAGAAAACTGTGTAGTGCCCTCAAGAATCAGAAAAGCCAGTGTTATGGTAAAGACAGGCATGCAATGGGATGTGAAATGTATTGGGCCTCATTTAAAGAGTGATTACTTAATTTATATTCTGAGCTAGGAAACTTTAAGAGTGAAGGTGATAGGGAAGAGGTAATATTCACCATCATGCAAGAAGAATAGGTATAAACTGGAAGTGTCTTGGGCACACAAGGCTGCACCAACACCCTACTAACTGGTCATATCAAAGAGCTTGGATTTTGTTCTGAATGCAATAGGAAGCCACTGAAGGGCATTCAATAAGAGGGTTACAGTATCTGATTTATCTCTTAATAAAACTACCCACCGTAGTGGCCTATAAGATTCTTGGATTATGTTATTTCTCTTAGTATAAGCAAAATTAAGAATTTGATGACATTTTAGACAAGGTTGAATTTCTTTTGAAATTATAGCTCATTCATGAAATAAATGACAAAGGAGAAGTGTCTTTAGTAGTTTAAAGAGGGATGTAGAAGTTCCTTCACTGTTGTCTACTATTTGGGAATGTCCAAAATCAGTTGTCCTGGGGCAATGAGGGGCATAATATCAATATTATTTACCCTCCCTATCTCTCCCAGTCTTCCATGTCCTTTGTCCCTTTGTACCTAGGTATGTGGTACTAGTATGACTCAATAAAAGTAAATAGTAAAAATAGCAATGATAAGAAGTAATACTGATTACTAGAAAACATGCCTTCAACTTCACATTCATTGTCTTATTTAACTCAAATTATGAGGTAGGTATCAGTAACCCTATTTTACAAATGAGAAAATTAGCTTTATAGGAGTTAAGGTACTTGTCCAGCTTTACATAACTAGTGAGTGAAAAGTTGAAATTCCTCCAAGATTGTCTGATGGCAGAGCCTCTATTCTAACCCTCTATACTAGAGATGGCAGGTCAGTGACTATTCAGAACCCTGTTTTGGTGATGCAATGGAAGCGGAAAGGGGATAATATTAAATACTATTTGGTGGGCTTAGTGTAGCAAGTCTAGTCTCTAATATCAATAACATATGCAAAAAATATTTTGAGAAATTTCTGTTTTCAGCTGTCATTGTTATTATTGAGTATAATTAATAGCCATGATACTTCAAAAATGGAAATGATGCACTGGTACTATGATTGCCTTCTTTAATTTTTTTTTTTTTTTTTTTGAGATGGAGTCTTGCTCTATCACCCAGGCTAGAGTACAGTGGCTCTATCTCTGCTCACTGCAACCTCCACCTCCCGGGTTCAAGCGATTCTCCTGCCTCAGCACCCCGAGTAGCTGGGATTACAGGCGCCTGCCACCACGACTGGCTAATTTTTGTATTTTTAGTAGAGATGGGGTTTTACCGACTTGGCCAGGCTGGTCTTGAACTCCTGACCTTGTAATCCACCCACCTCAGTGTCCCAAAGTGCTGGGATTATAGGCATGATGTTATTTTTTTAAATCAGATGAACTATTATTATATTTTTGAGGTTGTAGTTTTAACTCTATAGTGTCCATGCTTACTATAATGAAATTAAAATATTCCATGTGCTGAGTTAAAGATAGAATAAGACTATATTTTGAACATAATATCTCTAATATTAGTGAACAATTTATGATTGCCTAGTCACTCTTTGTTGAAAAAGAAAACCACAATAAGTTAATTAGGAAACTGCTACAGAAAAACAGAACTTACTATAAAAAATGTTTAAAATTCCCTTGTGTAGAGGTAAAATGTCATTAATTGTTATAGAATTTATTTGGATAATGAGTATGAAATTGAATCCTTAACATTTCTCCTGAAAGTTGTTTCATCCTTATCTTTTTCCTTTTTCTGATTAAAGTACTAGAAGATAAGAAGTTATTTTAAAAATTAACAATAGTTTAAAAACTTACCTACTCTATAATAGTACAAAGCCCATCAGAAGCGGTGAAGTATAAACACGTAGCACATAATATTTTGGCTGTTGATGGAAACAGGGGTTTGTGAAGAAAGCAGGAAAATTAGCAACCTTCTTAAGGTTGATATTTGTTATCTTCAGCTTACATACGGTGAACATATTTAAATCTTGTTCACCTTCTTAATGGGATATGCATGATTAGACTTGCCATTTGTGGAAATATTCAATCTCAGAAAAATAGAGCCCATCTAGGAAAATCATGAAAGGAAATTACGTTTTTTCACCATTATTCAGAATATAAAATAAATTTGGTTTCTGATGATTTCGTTTTTAATGAAATAATATTGTGGTAAAAATAATTTTAGTTTTTATCAACAAATAGGTTATTCCTCACACAGAACCTTAGAATTATATCTCACTGAATCACATTAGAATCATTTAGGGACCTTCCAAATAAACTGAAATTGATATACGTGAAATAGATTTTGGATACAAAGCTTGTATTCTGTTCTTTCTGGGAATAATAGCACAACCATTCTTAGGAAAACCACTCATCTCCCCATATAAAGCTGTTTGTTTTGTGTGGGTATGACTTCATCCCTACCTAGAGCAACAGAATATGTGAACAAAACTGAATCATGCCCAGGTAAATGGTTTGCAGTAGGTACATGTCTTTAGTCTGTCTGATCTATCCACACTTCTTGGCTTTTCATGGAAAAACAAGACCCCCCTTTTTGTGGCCATGAATAAGACAGTGTGTAGCCCTGTTTGCTGCCTGTCATTATTTTATGACCTTAGGGAACAAGCATTTAGATAAAACTGTCAAGTACGGAAGCCTCATAGAGAAACAGAACAAAAGCGTGTCCTTGGTGACATTATGGAATTTCTGACTCAAGTCACTCCTTAGCTTAGCACTATCACCTTATTCTTCAGCTGAGTAAGCTAACATGTTTGTCTACTTTTTTAGTCAGTTTGAGTTCAGTTTTCTGGACATGAAACCAAGATAATTTCTTGGATATGAAACCAAGATAATTTTAATTGATGCAATAAACTATTTTAAATGAAAATATTGTTTCACCTTAGACTTGTGAAATGCAGAACAAATAAAACAATCAAATACATGTGAACCATCAGCTTAAAAAAACCCTTCTATGAAAACTTTGAGAGAAAATCTGAAAGAATTACTTTCTGGTTGGGTTGCATATTGGGTATCTGTTGGGGTATAGGTCATTTTGAGTTGTTGTGGGATAGTCATTTATAGTTCCACTAACCTGGAATTTTTGCATGGGCAGGAACTGTTTAATCATTTGGTGGCAGGAATCTCCTGATGGCAGATAGGCTCTGTGATATTTAGGGAATAGGCTAAGCTGGTGTAATAAATATCTAAAAAATCAAGGACACAATCAAGGAAGATTTTTTTCTTCTCACTTTACAGTCCATGCATAGGCAGGCCGTCCAGAGACAGGAGGTAGCGCTGGTCCTTGTGGTTACGTGAGCACGCCCCACCCAATGGCTGGTAGTGCTACTTTGTCATCTTCTACTTGGTTTCAATTTCTGGATCCAAGACAGATGTTCCACCTGTCACCCTTTGCCAGCCAGCAGAAAAAGGAAAGGAAAATAAGTGGAGGATAAACAGTTTCTTTTAGGAATTATGGTTTGATAATTGTTTATCCTGTTTTCGTTCACATCCTATTGACCAAAACTTAGTCAAAATCATATGACTCACCTGGTTGCAATAAAGGCTAGGGAATGTAGTCTCTGGCTAAAACTCTTTAGTGGCTTCATATTATAGAGATGAGAGCACTGGGGACAAGTTAGGTACGCTTCACAAGCACATTTCTCCATGTTTCTAGATCATTAATAAAAAGCTTTTATACCTATCTATATAGCTATATCAATGTGTGTGTATATATAGCAGGCCTTTCGTATTCATGAGTTCCACATCCATTGATTCAACCAACTGCAGATCAAAAATTAAACAAAAATAAAAATAAAAAAAGACAAACTCTAAAAACAATATAGTATGACTATTTACATAATCTTTACATTGTATTAGGTATTATAAGTAATCCAGAGATAATTTTTTTTTTTTGAGATGGAGTCTTGCATCATTGCCCAGGCTAGAGTGCAGTGGCACAATCTTGGCTCACTGCAGCCTCCGCCTCCAAGGTTAAAGCGATTCTCCTGCCTCTGCCTCCTGAGTAGCTGGGATTACAGGCAAGCAACACCACACCTGGCTGCTTTTTGTATTTTCAGTAGAGATGGGGTTTCACCATCTTGGCCAGACTGGTCTAGAACTCCTGACATCAGGTGGTCTGCCCACCTCAGCCTCCCAAAGTGCTGGGATTACAGGCGCGAGCCACTATGCCCGGCTGAGATAATTTAAAGTATACGAGAGGATGTGCACAGCTTATATGCAAATACTATGCTATTTTATATAAGAAACTTGAGCATCTTTGGATTTTGGTGCCCTTGGGTGAGTACTGGAACCAATCCCCTACAGATGCCGAGGAATGACTATACATATGTATATGTACAATATACATATGTATCACACATATTTATATGTACAATATACATATGTATCACACATATTTATATGTACAATATACATATGTATCACACATATATGTACCATATACATATGTATCACACATATTTATATGTGTATATGTATCATATATATGTATATGTATGTATATATGTGTGTATATATCATATATACTCCACACAGAAATACTTTCTTTAATTTTTATGTATTTTTACAAATTAGTGGAAACTCAAGTTCTAAAAAAACTAAAGTTATAATTAGTAACCACAGTAGACGGTATAATTGCAATTTCTTTATATTCTCAGTAAATTAAGTGGGAAAAAGAAAATTTCATTTCAATTGATCATAAATATTTATAGAAAATGACTAAATATATTAACATATTACCTAAGTTCAGAAATTTATATCATTTGTTACAACATTTCCTGGCATAAAAGTGTGAGAAAAATAAACTTACATGAATGAGGCAATTAGTCAATTATTTTCCTTCTGGGAAGTTATTTATTCAAGGCCTTTTCGTGAGTGGCAATGGGCATAATTTTTATTTTTATGACTTCTCTTAATAATGTTTTTCAGTATCAGATAATTGAATGACTATTACTTTAAGTCTGATTTAGATAGATATTAATGATGTCACCTAAGTCAGCCTGGGTGGCTGAGTTTATACAGCATGGGGGCTCTCTTTCAAATGCATATTAAAACAAAAATTTGCATTACCTAATTTCTTGTGTTCCCAAGGAATTACTAAGATGTAAGTCCTGCAGAGTTTTGGTGCCCAGGACAATGAATGGCCCAAAGAATGAGATTCTGGGAGGGCAAAATCGAGTATCCCAATAACATCTTAATATGGCTTTAGTAATTTTGTTTAAGCCACTACTCACTGAATACTCACCCTATCCCAGACATGTCCTAAGTCCTTCACATTTAAGCCTTTCAACTTCCCTTAGGTAAGTACTATTATCACCATTTTACAGATAGAAAACCTGAGGCTTGGAAAAGTGATAGGATGGTGCAAGACAAGACAAAGATTTTTCTTTTCTTTCACTCCAAACTCTTGAAAATTATACAAATCTTTTGAGAAGTGTTTGTTCATATCCTTCACCCACTTTTTAATGGGATTGTTTGTTTTTTTCTTGTAAATTTGTTTAAGTTCCTTGTAGATTCTGGATGTTAGTCCTTTGTCAGATGGATAGATTGCAAAAATTTTCTCCCATTCTATAGGCTGCCTGTTCACTCTGATGATAGTTTCTTTTGCTGTGCAGAAGCCCTTTAGATTAATTAGATCCTATTTGTCAATTTTGGCTTTTGTTGCCATTGGTTTTGGTGTTTTAGTCATGAAAGTCTTTGCCCATGCCTATGTCCTGATTGGTATTGCCTAGGCTTTCTTCTAGGGTTTTTATGGTTTTAGGTCTTATGTTTAAGTCTTTAATCAACCTTGAGTTGATTTTTGTATAAGTTGTAAGGGAAGGGGTCCAGTTTCAGTTTTATGCATATGACTAGCCAGTTTTCCCAACACCATTTATTAAATCGGGAATCCTTTCCCCATTGCTTCTTTTTGTCAGGTTTGTCAAAGATCAGAAATTTATGCAGCCAACAAACATATGAAAAAATGCTCATCATCACTGGTCATTAGAGAAATGCAAATCAAAACCACAATGAGATACCATCTCACACCAGTTAGAATGGCGATCATTAAAAAGTCAAGAAACAACAGATGCTGGAGAGGATGTGGAGAAATATGAACGCTTTTACACTGTTGGTGGGAGTGTAAATTCGTTCAACCATTGTGGAGGACAGTGTGGCGATTCCTCAGGGATCTAGAACCAGAAATACCATTTGACCCAGCAATCCCATTACTGGGTATATACCCAAAGGTTTATAAGTCATTCTACTATAAAGACACATGCACATGTATGTTTATTGCAACACTATTCCCAATAGCAAAGACTTGGAACCAACCCAAATTCCCATCAATGACAGACTGGACAAAGAAAATGTGGCACATATATACCATGGAATACTATGCAGCCATAGAAAAGGATGAGTTCATGTCCTTTGCAGGTACATGGATGAAGCTGGAAACCATCATTCTCAGCAAACTAAAACAAGAACAGAAAAACAAACACCGCATGTTCTCACTCATAAGTGGGAGCTGAACAATGAGAACACATGGACACAAGGAGGGGAACAGCACACCCTGGGGCCAGACTGGGGGATCGGGGGTTAGGGGAGGGATAGCATTAAGAAAAATACCAAATGTAGATGACAGGTTGATGGGTGCAGCAAACCACCACGGCACGTGTATAACTATGTAACAAACCTGCATGTTCTGCACATGTATCCCAGAACTTAAAGTATAATAAAAATAAATTAAATAAAGAAAGAAATAAATAAAATTGGCAAACAATAAATGTTTGTTAAATTAAAATGGATCATATACAGCCTTTGTGGCAGCCATGGAGATGTGCCACTTAAATTAACATGTTTCAAAGAATGCAGTTAGCTGATGGCTTCCCCATTTGGCATCCACTGCTGTATTTAAGCCATGCTTATGGTCTCCCAAGATGGTTCCCAGCCAAGGATTGAGCATGGCTGGCATATGAGTTAAAATAAAATAAAATAAAAAAGAAAATTATACAAATGTTGCTTACATCTAGGTAAAAGTGGGTGTATCAGTCTGGGTTCTAGAGAGAGAGGGAAAGACAAAAGCATTTTAAGGAATTGGTTTGCACAATTATGGAGGCTGGTAAGTCTGAATTTGTAGAGTAGGCTATCGAGCAGGGCATTCAGGTAAGAGTTGAAGTTGCAGTCTTGAGTTCAAAATTTTTAGGGAAGACCAGCAGACTGGTACCTCGGATAGGATTTCTATGTTACAGTTGTCAGGCAGAATTCCTTCTTCACCAGGAAACCTCAGCTTTTGTTCTTAAGGCCTTCAACTGGTTAGATGAGGCCCATCCACATTTTAGAGGGCAAATTGCCTTACTTAAAGTCAACTGCCTATAAATGTTAACCACATCTCCAAAACTCCTATACTACTGTTTGACCAAACAACTGAGCATCATAACCTAGCCAAGCCAATACATAAAATTAACCCTCTCAGCATGTTTCTAAACACTGCGCCCACACACACCTGTTTTCACCCCTAACCCTTTTTTAATGCAAAAACTCAGAACTAATACTAAATTAAACTGGATTTAGGTTTTCTCACAATTTGGATACAGCTATGAGGAGATTGGACATGAAAGTTATTTTTCAGGACACAGCTGGGATTTAAAGTTGTGTGAAATAAAATTTTCTTTGATAATATACATGTAAGCTAGGAGGGATCAGGAAAAATAAGGATTACAGAGGCATATTTTCACTGATTGCAGTAAAAACTGAAGGCAATTTCTTGCTCCAGGTAGTATTAAGAAGGTGGAGTTTCTGAAAGATACAATATTAACAACAGCTTTGCCTTCTTTAAAGTTAACAGTGCTAGGGTAAGAAGAAAGTATATGATTTTCGGAATAAAACTTTTATTAGCAAACCCATTATCCTTGGGCAGGTGGCTCATTGCCTGAGGCAGAGCTTTGTGAAGGCACATTATGAAAGTGGGCATGCAGGGCTTACTAATGTGCCTGGCTGATATGCATGCTTCATTAGTGCCTGCCAACGGGGACTCAGCACTGCAAGCCTGGTTCTTGGCTGGTGGGCCTCTGTGTGGCCAGCTTCCTAGATACCCCTTTCTTCCAGCTAAGCCCTGCTTACTTCAGAAGTTAAAGCCCTGAAGATACTTCCTCTAGTTCCAACTATTATTTTTTGTCTTATTACAAAAGTAATATATATAACTTGAATAAAAATTAGGAAAAAAAGATAGACAAAAAAGTATCTGTACTGCCACAATCCATGTTGATGTATATTTTTACAATCTTAAATTTAGAATAGATGTTAATGTGGATCTGGCTGTGGATACAGATATAATATAGTTACAAAAATGCTTTCTATAGTGCTTTATGCCCTGCTTTTTTATTTATTATGTCATTAATATAGTTGCTTGTCAATAGAAGTTCTACAAGTTTTGTTAGGACTACATTACTTTCTGTTATATTGACATTCTCAACAGTAGGTGGATTGAAAAGTATAATCCACTGATAAAGTTTAGGTATGTTATTCCACTAGAACACAGATTTCTGAGATTTTTGTGGCTCTCAGGCTATCAGGCATACATTAATATTTCTTTGTCTTTAAGCAGAAGGAACAGAAAAAGATACTCTAATACATTCTAAATCACTATCCTCTAATAAGTAATATCAGAGCCATATTATAGTAAGCCAAATTCTTGGAGGCAATAGGTAATACTTAGGAGTAAACAGGAGTTTAAAATGTAATTACCTCAACAAGTTTGGAAATATGAGGGATTAATCAAGGACAGTTTGTTTTTAAATTTTTCATTATTTTGAGCTTTAAGGCACCAGGCTCTAAACCCAAGACAAATTTTCAGTGCCTTCTAACTATTGTCTTATATTCCTGTGTCTGAGTATGATATGTTTTATTGAATTAGATTAAAATTAAGTTTTGGAGCTTATTACACAGTGGTCTCCAAAGAACACACTTTTTCTTCACTACTGCCTTTTCAAAGATTGCTAATATCCACAATGTAAAGCTGTACCACATTATTTCTGGAATGACTATATTAAAACGTGAAGATAGTAGCACTGTCTGATTGCAGCATTCAAGTTTTTCTCCCCTGTTTTTCTGCCTCTTCTACCAATATATGAATTTTCCAAAATCACAAAGATAACAGCATAATTAACACTTTAGACTCAAGTCTATGTTATATAATAAGAGCTGCTCTAGAAATAGTCATGAGCTTCTGGAGTCTAGGTATGGCCCTATTATCAATCAAATTGAGAAAGTAGCCGGTTCCCAGTTTCATCACTTGGAAAATGAGGTGGTTGAACTAAAGGATCATTGAAATTCTTCCAAATATAGTATAATTCTGGTGTAGTAATTCTTCTTGGAGCCCAGAGGCCTCTTCTAACTTATGCATTGATGATTGAGTACCAGTCCTGGTATTTTGTTGTTGTCAGTGTCAAAATGCCAAAAAACAATCCAGTCTAGCAAGTTTAATATATAGTATAAATAACACAAAACTTGGCCAGCCACTTGAGGAACTGATATTCCTTTTAGAATCAAGAAGATGCCTACAAGAGATAAAGTCTCAGGCTACCAGAGTAAAGGCCCAGGTACACCAGACAATATGGATGTCTGTCACCCATCTTCTCTCCTCCTTTACCTCAGTTCTAAATTCAGGCTTCAAGTAAGTGTATATGATTGGTGAAGCCTAAATTGCATTTAGAATCTTACTTCCAAGGGTCTCTGGGACATATCACATTTTATATTTTCAGTCTCTGTAGTAGAGGGTGTCACACTAGATAGAGGTTAGATTCGATGTTAAGGGAGTCAGATCACAGTCCCAGATGTTCTCAATATCAGGTTAGTACAAGAAACATAAAAAGAAGCCACTGCTTTACAGAAAAAAAAAATAAGAGCCTCCATGTCATAGTAAGTATATAGTCTTACTTTAAATGAGTTTACCCTATAAAGTTTTGAAAGTGATTTTTAATAATAAATAACCAAATTTATATTTTATCTATATATAGCAAAATTACTCTTTGGTAACAATATTCTAAATTTTTCCTCTTATAATGAAGAGTATATGATAAATATGCTGTAAAAGAATACAATATGAATTAAGCTGTAATTTTCTTCATATTTTATTTCACTCAAAAAGAATTAGAGCTGCTGTTATAATGGTGCTTTACATTACAGATTTCTCAAAGCTGACATTTGTTATTAGCAGCATTTCGAGTCCACCAATCCTCCAGTTTTTCACTGTCATGGAAAACCTCTGATTTACATAGAAGTCAGAAACTATTGACAATTGTAGTTATGTCTAACTGAGCTAAAGTTATTTTAGGGAGAGTATTGATGAATGGCTGATTCTAACATCAGTTCATTAGCATGGAATTTATCAGCCAATGATAAAATGTTAGATGAAGAGAATGAATTATTCATTCATTCAGCAAATATTTCCTTCTGCCTACTATGTGCAAGGCACATAGTAGGAGTTTGGAATACATCAGTAAGCATAACAAAGATCCCCGTTCTCTTGGAGTATATATTCTAATATGGGTAGATATATAATAAAAACCATAATAAATAAGCAGATTATATTATACAAGGTAATATGTGCTTTGAAAAAATAAAAAGTAGAGCGAGGTGATGTGTTAGGAATTGTGGTGGGATATGGTCAGCATAACACTCACTGAGATGGGTGATTTCAGCAAAGACTTTAAGGAAATAAGATCTTTTGTTTTTGTGTGTGTGTGTAATCACTTGAGGAAGAGCATTCCAGGAAGAAGGAAGAACTCTCCATTAAATTGGAGAGTGCCAGGCTTACACAAAGAAGAACAAGGAGACCTGTATGGCTGGAGTGCAATGAGCAGGGAAGACTTATCAGGAGCGGAGCATGGAGAGCTCAGAGAGCCACATCACATAGGGCTTTTAGGCTATTACAAAAACTTGGAAATGGGCTCTGAAAAAGTGAAAAGTCATTTCAGGGTTTTGAGCAGAGAAATGAGATAAACTTACATTTTAAGAGAATTTCACAATAACTACTGTGTTGGCAATGGGTTATTTAGAAGCAGAGAGGCCAGACAGGAGTCTATTTCAGTGAGCCAGATGAGAGATGATGCCATCTCTCTCAGGATGGTAGCAGTAGGGATGGTGAAAAATGGTCAGATTCCAAAGATCATTTGAAAAATTCGATTTAGAATGTATGGAAATAGGGGATTCATGAATAAGTTCAAAAACTGTGGCCTGGGCTACTGGCAGAATGATGTTGCCATTAAGTAAAATGGAAGAAATTACAAATGGATCAGGTTTGTGGGGTAGGAATGGGAGTTCTGCATCGCTTCTTTAAAGTCTGGAGGTTATGAATTTGTGTACTGCATTGCTTATTGAAATGTGGTCCCTGAATCAGCAGCATGAGCATCACCTGGCAACTTGTTAGAAATGCATACTTTGGGTCCCATTCTAAATCTATTCAATAAGGAGCTCTGGCCATGGGGCCCAGAAATCTGTGCTTTAACCAGCCTTCTGGGTGATTCTGGTACACACTCAAGTTTGAGAAACACTGTATATCATCTCCAAGGTATAAGGACCAGGGACTACTTTTCCAGAATGGGAACATCATGTGTTTGGAGATAGAAGACTAACTTGGGTCAAGATGGTTTCTCTATCTGAGCCTTAATTTTTATGTCTTTAAAGAGTGAATGGTAGTGGTACTGATGTCAATAATTGGCTTGAGAAGCCAAATCAAACAATGCATGTTAATAGCCTTGTGCAAATTAAGCACCCTGTAAGTACTAGAGAGGGGAGATGGTAGCCTGGAGATGGTAGGCTGGAGATGGGGATGGTGCAACACAGTTTACCTCTTTTTTTTGCTAAAATTATCTTGCTTTCAAAAAGAAATAATAATTACATGGAAAATCAGAGTTTTATTGAAGTTTTCCTCGAGCTTTAAAACATAGGTAATAAAGATGACTATCACAAAGCAGATTGATGGTACTATGTGTGTGACACAGTAGAAGGAGTGGCTATTTGAATTTAATAATTATTTACCTCACTTGCATGTAAAAAGAAAAGAGAAACATGTATTTTTACTACAAAATAGAAAAACTGTTTCGATATGAATTTGTTTCTCCAAGTTTATGCAGTTATCTTTTTTTTTTTTTTTTTTTAGTATTTATTGATCATTCTTGGGTGTTTCTCAGAGAGGGGGATGTGGCAGGGTCATAGGATAATAGTGGAGAGAAGGTCAGCAGATAAACAGGTGAACAAAGGTCTCTGGTTTTCCTAGGCAGAGGTCCCTGCGGCCTTCAGCAGTGTTTGTGTCCCTGGGTACTTGAGATTAGGGAGTGGTGATGACTCTTAACGAGCATGCTGTCTTCAAGCATCTGTTTAACAAAGCACATCTTGCACCGCCCTTAATCCATTTAACCCTGAGTTGACACAGCACATGTTTCAGAGAGCACGGGGTTGGGGGTAAGGTTATAGATTAACGGCATCCCAAAGCAGAAGAATTTTTCTTAGTACAGAACAAAATGGAGTCTCCTATGTCAACTTCTTTCTACACAGACACAGTAACAATCTGATCTGTCTTTCTTTTCCCCATATTTCCCCCTTTTCTTTTCGACAAAACTGCCATCGTCATCATGGCCCGTTCTCGATGGTCGCTGTCTCTTCGGAGCTGTTGGGTACACTTCCCAGACGGGGCAGCCTGGCAGAGGCACACCTCACTTCCCAGATGGGGCAGCGGGACAGAGGCGCTCCTCACTTCCCAGATGGGGCAGCGGGACAGAGGCACTCCTCACCTCCCAGATGGGGCAGCCAGGCCGAGGCACTCCTCACCTCCCAGATGGGGTGGCGGCCGGGCAGAGGCGCACCTCACATCCCAGATGATGGGCAGCCAGGCGTAGGCGCTCCTCACCTCCCAAGACGGGGTGGCGGCCGGGCAGAGGCGCACCTCACATCCCAGACAATGGGCGGCCGGGCAGAGGCGCTCCTCACCTCCCAGATGGGGTGGCGGCCAGGCAGAGGCGCTCCTCACTTCCCAGACAGGGCGGCCAGGTGGAAGCGCTCCTCTCATCCCAGACTGGGCGGCTGGGCAGAGGCGCTCCTCACATCCCAGACGATGGGCGGCCAGGCAGAGATGCTCCTCACTTCCCAGACAGGGTGGCAGCCAGGCAGAGACACTCCCCACTTCCCAGACGGGGTGGTGGCCGGGCAGTAATCTTAGCACTTTGGGAGGCCAAGGCAGGCGGCTGGAAGGTGGATGTTGTGGCGAGCCGAGATCACGCCACTGCACTCCAGCCTGGGCAACAGTGAGCATTGGGTGGGCGAGACTCCGTCTGCAATCCCAGCACCCTGGGAGGCTGAGACGGGCAGACCACTCGAGGTCAGGAGCCGGAGACCAGCCTGGTCAACAGGGCGAAACCCCGTCTCCTCCAAAAATACAAAAACCAGTCAGGCGTGGTGGCACGCGCCTGTAATCCCAGGCACTCGGCAGGCTGAGGCAGGAGAACCACGGGAGCCCGGGGCAGGGAGGCTGCAGCCAGCCAAGACCACGGCAGTACAGTCCAGCCTCAGCAACTGAGGGAGACCAAAGAAAGAAAGATAAGGGAGAGGGAGAGGGGGAGGGGGAGGGGGGAGGGGGAGGGGGAGAGGGAGAGGTGCAGTTATCTTTTTACAACTGTTTAAATTTTGTTTGCAGTCTCTAGGCTTGTTTCTCTTACTTCACAAAGTAGGGATGGGATCTCTGAGTTTTATAGAAGTCTGCAGATAAGTTAAAAATAAAGTTAGATGCAACCTTTGAGTCATTTCTCCAGGAAAACTGATTATTCTTTCATTTTGTTGCAAGAAAGGATATTCAAGCTATTTGCTAAGACCAAGTCTATTTTTTCAGCAAAAATATATATTTTTGCTAAAACATGGCCAAGAGGAGGCTTCAAACATATAAAATCAATATGGCAGAACAAAGCTGGTTTCAAACATACATACATACATACATACAACTTATTCTGTGACCTTGAGCTAGTTACTTCATCTCAGTGTCTATGTGATTCTTCATCTAGAAAACAAGGATAATAATAATACTTATCTATCTATATAGATATATGTATGTATATATATGTGTGTATATATATATACACATACGTGTGAGTGTGTGTGTGTGTGTGTGTGTGTATGTGTGTTTGAAGCCAGCTTGGTTCGGCCATATTTATTTTCAGACGTAAGTATCACCTAATAGTTAGCCATGTTGATTTTCATTATTATAGGTTTCTAATTGAGGAGCTATTATGGTCTACGTATAAAGGGATAAATATGCACAATATGGGTTAACACAACTGAACTGCAAAATTACAAATTTACTACCATTTTGTATTTTTATGCATTCATTAGGGAATTAATGTAATATAGGTGACTAAATATTAGAGTTAGAAACAGTAAAATAGAGTTTTCTTCACGTAAGTACAAATTAAGTCAAATCTCACCTGCCTTACAAGTTCAAGGGCAAGAACTTTTACCTCCTGCCTCTGAAATTTTCTGAAAATATTCTTGCAGATTGTTCAACATTTATTCAGCAAATATATACTGAGATTCTATGTCCCTGGCACCATTGTGGATTCTGGGACTACAACAGTGAACTAAACAAGCAAGCATCTTCACTCTCCTATAAATTATATTCCAGTGGATGGAGATAGATAATAAAAGCTGCATCTGCCATATAATAAATGCTATATAGAAAGATAAAGCAGGAGAGAAACGTATCAATAATGGGGTGATAAGAATAAGGCAATTTTATATACAGCACCTAGGGGAAAAATTACTGAGAAAGTGACATTTGAGAGTAGACTTCATGGGAGTAGGGGAGCGAATCATATATGGAGAAGAGAGTTATTCAAATACTTACTGCAAAGGCCAAGTTAGAACATATCTGGCCTTCTACAGGAGGAGTAGGGTGGTCAATGTGACCACAGAAGAGTGATAGAAATTTAAGAGATGAGGACAGTAAGATGAAAAACATACAGAGCATTATGGACCTTTATAAGGACTTAATTACTTGGAGTAAAGAACCAGTGGAAAGTTTTGGAAAGGGGACTTACATAATTTGGCTTCTTTACAAATATCTCTTCCTTACATTTTCACTTAATTAATACCTTACCTGAAAATACACTTGTAGGATGAAATTATCCTTCCTATAAACATTAGAGGCATCATTGACCCCAACCATGCAACATTGCATGACTCTGAATTTTTTTTTTGTAGGTGACATTTTTAACTCTCTGTAATTTTTGACGTATCTTTATCTTTATATTTTACAAAGATTTGTTGTCCAAATGAATGTCTTTTTTCCAAAACACCTGTTCATGTAGCTGAAGATTCTGATCTTTTTGTGTCCCATTGAAAATGCCATTATTTGTTTATTTCTCTTTTTATTTATTCTTTATTATCTCATAATTGTTAACACTTCTGTTACATGAATTGATGGGATTTCTCTATTTCCCATGCCTCTTAATTTTTAATTTTATAATTTCTACATATTTATCTTTTTCTGCACTACAGACTATCTGAGTTAGAATTCTGTAGCGGCCAACTTAATTTGCTCTGTGACCTTGAGCTAGTTACTTCATCTCAGTGTGTATGTGATTCTTCGTCTAGAAAACAAGGATAACATTAATACCTACATTAGAAGAGTGTTGTCGGGTTTACATACTTTATAGAGACTGACAAATTAATGTAGGCTATCTTTCAGGTCACTAATTCAGTATTCAGTCTTCTTCAGTCTATTATTGAGCAGATCTTTTGAATTTCTAAAAAGTTAAGACAATTATAATTTCAATTTCCAAGGATATTTTCTACTTTTTGATTTATTCTTTCTATATAGCATGCTATTCCTTTTTTCCATATATGCAATATGCTATCAAATATCATGAGGAAAACAATTAGAAAAATGTGAAGTTCTTTTCTTCACCAAATTAATTTTTTTTCTGTTTCCTCCAGAGTCTGCCATTCTATTTCTATTTCCTGGTATTTTCAGTTTTGCCATTTTTTTTTTCTTTAAATGCCTTAAGATGCTCAGTTGTCATTCCATATTTATGGATGAAGAATGTAGCTTCTTAACATATAGATGGCTGGCTCTGGGGGAATCTTATGTATGGTGGAAGTCTTTTTCTCCTGATATCATCCTTTTGGGTGGGAAGAATCACTGCAGGGTCTACATCACCAGGCAGAGATGTTGACAAGCAGGCTTCCTCTTAGGGTCCACGGGCAAGGGACAGGCAGGCAGACCAGCCAATTGCCAACCTAACATCCCTTTTGGACAGTGTTACCTTTCCCTGTTTGTGTAATCCTTTTATATCATTTGCAGAAGTCCAGAGTTCCCTTAGCCTCTATTCCTCTTCTTACTTCAGCTCCTAAGCACATACAAGGAGCCCTCCCCAGACAGATCAGCGCTTCTCTGGGAGATTTCTCGGGCTTTAACTCAATTGCTTTGTGTACAACTGCTATAGTCGGAATGTTTTTGTCCCTCACATTCATATGTTGAAATCTCACCCCTCAAGCTGAGAGTATGAGGAGGTGGGGACTTTGGGAGGGTTAAGACCTCACGATTGTGATTAGTGCCTTTATAAAAGAGACACCACAGAGATCCCT
This sequence comes from Homo sapiens, assembly GCF_000001405.40. Classification (NCBI taxonomy): domain Eukaryota; kingdom Metazoa; phylum Chordata; class Mammalia; order Primates; family Hominidae; genus Homo; species Homo sapiens. The sequence continues at coordinate 69,125,493 of NC_000006.12, forward strand.
TGCCCCTTCTGCCATGTGAAGACAGGGCTGGAAGGGACTGTCTATGAACAGCCCTTCCACGTGGAAGCAGGCCTCCACAAGACGCTGAATCTGCTGTCACCTTGATCTTGAACTTCCCAGGCTTCAGAACTCTGAGAAATAAATTTATGTTGTTTATAAGCCACTCACACTATAGTATTTTATTATAGTGGCCCAAACAGGCAAAGCCAATGTCTAAAGTAAAGGGGAGATCTGACTAACCCAATCCACCCTTTATTTAATTTATTTAATGAATTTGAAAGTTCTGTAATGCTTTTTTAAAAACAACATTGCTTACCTCCCACTTTGAAGGCAATTTGTTCTGTTCTGGTATCTCTTTCAGCCATTTCCATCCATATCCATGTTCTCGAGATTTGAACTTGGCCCTTGATTCCCATTCTTAAGAATATGTTGTATGCCATTTCAGTGAATTGAGGAAGCAGTAATGGGATGAAGAATCTTGTGTTTTGTCCAACATTTGGGTCAAAGTCAAATCCATGACTTTTAATTTGTACTTCCTGTGCTTTTCGCCCTAGATACTGTTTCTGAATATGCACTAAGTATATTTCTGAATATGGACTAGTTACAAATAAAACCTAACATAATAATTTGTAATATAGTATGGTACATAATATCAAGAAATTCCCTTCCTTCTTGTATTAGATTTCCCCAGAGAAACAGAACCAATAGGAAATGATTGATAGATAGATAAATAGATACACACATACATACATACATACATACATACATACATACATACATACACACATAGATAAAGACATATGAGAGGAGATTTGTTAGGGGAATTGGCTCACACAATAGTGGAGAGGTCTTGCAACAGGCCATCTACAAGCTAGAGAACCAGGAACGTTGGTAGAGTGGCTCAGTCCAAGCCCAACGGCCTCAGAACTGTGGAAGCCACTGCTGTCGTTCTCAGGCCAAAGGTCTATGAACCTGGCAGGCTGCTGTGCAAGTCCTGGAGTTAAAAAGTAGGAGGAACTCAAGTTCTGATATCTGAGGGCAAGAGAAGACGGGTGTCCCATCTTTAGAAGAGAGAGAGAGAATTCACCTTTTCTGTTCTATCTGGGTGCTCAGCTTATTAGATGGTGCCTGCCAACATTGGAGGAGGGTGGATCTTCCTCACTCAGTCTACTGATTTAAATGCCAATCTCTTCCAGAAATACCCTCACAGACATACCTAGAAATAACACTTTATCAGCTATCTGAGTATCCCTTAATCTAGTAAAGTTGACACCTAAAATTAACCATCACACTTACCTTCCTATAGAGTTTGACCTTTCCAACTCTAAGCCGAATGTGCTGGATTGCTCTAGAGGGAACTCTATGATGACAACAATAGAGTTAACTCATTAGCTCCTAAATTAAAGGACTCTTTTTCTCCTCAGTCCAGACCCTCTTCTTCCCTAGTAGAATATGAGACAGAATTGCTTTGCTGGAATTTGTCCCCAGATATACCTAAGGGTATAGGAAATTGAGATTGGGTTGGAAGCTGGAGAGAGAAGAGAACTTTTGAGAATAGTGTGTGGGAAGCAAAAGTGAGATGTTAGACTTCCCTGTTCCCACCATGGGGATATGTGTTCAACATGTCTCCCTATCACACTTCAGAATTTCAGCTAACAATGAAGATTAGCATCCAGTTTCCTGACTAAAATTTTCCTGGTTGCAGGACCCCTTGATCCATTCTCAATTCTAAAAATTGTAGCCCTGAAGTGGCATTAAAACATTCATCACAAGCCCACCAAAACACTTTGTATTTATTATTTCTCTTATTTAGACTTCCAAACCAAATTATGTCTTCGTATATTTTAGGCAATCAATAAATATTAATTTATTCAATACTAGAGGGAAAAGGATGTCACAGAACTGTGGAATCATTTCCTGCTTATTGTCCTTTCTTTAATCACCAAGTGAGGGTGCGGTGGTCTGGCTATTTCTCTAAGTTTGAAATGACAAATTTAGCTTCAATTCCGATTTCTATTCAGTAACTGAGTGACTTGGGACATATCATTTGACTTTTCGGTGTCTTGCTTTTCTCTAAAAATGAGGATAAAATATAAATTACTCAAAGTATACTCAGTTTGATGTACAAAACATAGCTGGATCTTGGTGAGTATTCAAATAAAAAATTATCTTTCCCTCCTTGCCTTTTTTGCACCACAAAAATCCAGGTTTATTCCAAAATATACTAACCTCTTATTTAGGTGTGATTCGTCTTTTAAAAAATTCTGGATATTGAGAACAACTTGGGTGCAAGATAGCATTACACAACTGTAAATGTTAAAACTATACTACATGAATGTTCCCGTGACCTGGGAATTTGTATGAGGTGGGACCAACAGAGCAAAGCTACAGCCAAGATAATAGTTTTTTTTTTGTTTTTTTTTTCTGGCATGGCATTTGGACATAGATGTCTTTAAAGGTCTCCTTCGTACATACCCCACAAAGAGACACTAAAGCCATCTCTCTCGAGAGAAAAGAAATGAAATGTTAAGAGTCAGTATGATATGTTCACATATGGACAGATTCTTCATTTTGTAAAAAAATATATAGTTACTCTCTTTGCAGTGAGAAATTGTAGATGGGCTGTACCCAATCTGCGAAAGGTGCCGGCTGACTGTGAACTGTCTATACCTATTATCAGTATTTAGGACACCTCATCTTCTTATGTTCACTGTCACCTGTCTACTCATAAGAGAGTATCTAAGATCTATCCCTTTATTTGAAAGTCAAGTGTATTTCTGTGTCTTTGCCACATCAATTTTACTTAAAGACTTAATTCCCCAAAGCCAGAATGACAAAATCCACAGTTTAGAGTCATTTCTTAAAATGTAAAGCCTCAGTTTAATTGAAGAAAGCTGTTAGGGGATCTTGTGGTCTGTGACTTGAAGACAATTATTTTTCTGTAACAGTAATATCAATAACTTAAAATGTTGCTTCTCTGCCTGTAATACATAGTAACTGTAATCATAGCCTTTCTACTGAGGTCTTTTTCTGCCATCTGATAAATCATACAGTAGATATAAACTCACCCCACTCCAAAAGAAAAGAAAACAACTCCAAGAATCATCGATCCAGGCTCAAAGCCAAGCAATCTATTTTTAGTACTTTCTCAACGAGCCACACAATAAAAATGTAAATGAAATGGTACTATTTTCTCTTCAGACTCTTTTTCAAAATGTAGGTTTAGCTTTGTTAAACTGACTATTTTCAGACCATCTTCAAGGAACTTGGTTATTCCAGTCTAGGGACTTTCATATCCCAATTTCACATTAACTATAATTCCCATGTTCCTTATAACTTTAAAATAATTTGCCTGAATGAAAACCTAAGGATCAACTTAGATATATTGAATGTCTTCTCACTTCAAGTTGCAGAATTAGCACTGAGACAATTGGGTCTCATCTAAGTCTTCAGGCAACCGATAGACCAGTTCGTTTCAAGTTATAAGTCCTTTCCCCATGTGGTACGCATTTTAGTAAGCCTTTCTTAGGGTAAGTGATTTACTTTTCTGAAATATCACTAGAATGTAAATTGCTTTTGATACTTACGAACAGTAGCCATGTTTTAACCCTCTACACTCACCTTCACAGCTTAATGAGGTGGGCATTACTATTATCTTCTTTAGACACATATGTTCATTTGAAATGCAGAAGCCAAGTAACTTGGCCAAACCACACAATTAGTGTGTAAGGTAGCAAAAACTTCAGCTACTCACTAGTAGAGAGAAGGAATTCTGGGTATGTGCATGGAATTAAATTAATGCCTATGGAATGCACTGGAGCTTTTTAAAATTGCAGATGATGCACATGAAATAAAAACAGAAAAGTGAAAGACAGAATAAGGAAGTTAGAGAAGAGCATCAAAGAAAGAATAGGAATTAAGATGAAGAACAAAATAAGGTCAAGTGAAGAAATTAGTGACAAATAAGGAGAAAAGAGTTTAAAAGAGCTTAAAAAAACATAAGAACATTGGAAGAAGAGGGTGTTACATAGAAAAGTCATAAGAAAACATTGACTTTCTTAAGTCAATGGACTGGGAAGAATATCACAAATTGAAAATATAAAATTAAAACGTTTCATTCTTAAAATCGCTACACATATGCTATTACATTATTGCTTCCCAGGTTACACACACTGTAATCTCATCATCCCAGCCTTGGGATGCTGTTCTATGTGAATCAACATCAGACACTAGTTCAGGTCAGGTGTAAATGATGTAATTTCACTGAACTACAGCTGTTGATGAACTAATCATTGAGTCTTTACATTGCACAAAATAGAAAAAGAATTGTGTTGTATGAATTCTTTTTAGTGCAGAAATGTAGTATCAGTCCTCTCCTGGAATATCTTTCCTAGACTCTGTTTCATTACCTTTTCCCTTTCCAGTAAATAACCTACACTAATTGTTTATAACCAACTTTTATAGAATCTAGTTGGCTACCGAAATACTGGAAAATCCCTTGTCCTAGTCCATTCAGGTTGCTATAACAAAATATTATAAACTGGGTAACTTGGAAAAAACAGAAATGTATTCCTCACGGTTCTGGAGGCTGAGAAGTCCAAGATCAAAGAGCCAACAGATTCAGTGTCTAGTGAGGGCTACTTTCCTGATGGTGTCTTCTTGCTCTGTCCTCACATGGTGGAAAGGAAGAATGAGCTCATTTGGGCCTCTTTTGAAAGGGCACTGATCCCAATTACAACATCTCCATCCTCAAGACCTAGTCACCTTTCAAAGGTTCCACCTCCTAAAAATTATCACGGTGGCCATTAGGATTTTAACATATGAATTTTGGGATTATATAAGTATTCAGACTATAGCAGCTGTATTTCATTCTTTTAATGCATTGTCTTGGCTATCTTAGTATGCCCAGTTCTGAACACATTTTCACCCAAATCATATTTGTCAGCCCCCATGCAATTATCCCTCACTGACACTAGTATTCTTCCAAGAAAGAGGAGGATGCTATTTTGAATTGACTAAAGTAGATTTGGAAGCCCCTCAACTGGGCTTCCAAATCTACTTTAGTCAATTCAAAATAGAAATTCAGCCCCCCGACTGGGCTCCTTTTTTTTCCTCTGTTTCTTTATTTTGGATTAAAGCTTTTTTATTGTCTTTTTTAACTACACTGGTTTTAGTAGTTATGCATTGTGTTTCTTGGGGTTTTTTCTAAGTATTTAACCATTATTATTAAGTTGTAAACTTGATTTAACAAATTCCAATGTGGATCAGTATCTCAGCTTTTTTCTTGAATGACACAATGATTTCAGCTCTTTAATGCCTGTCATTATGCCCTCCTGGCATATGTAAATGATATTTGAAAGATATATCCTTTAGTGGTTCTTCCACCTAGCAAATCCTACCAGAGGCCTCTCTGAACATGTTTTTATTTGATGTTCGCTATTCAAATGATGAAAGACATAGGGGTTTTTGCTAACTTTTCCTCAAATTTTAATTACTTTTTATAAGAAAATCTCCAAATGAAAGTTAAGAACCACTAAAACAGAATAATACCTTTAAAAGAAGACATGAACTTCAAATGTTGGAATATAGCCATTAATTATTTCAGTATTAAAATCTAGTATAAGTTAGCTTGAAATAAAAAAAGAATGTTCAACTCAATACCCTTTCAGTATAAGATATTTAATTAGAAATCATGAAATTATTGCAGAAGTCAAAGCAAGTCATGAAAGCTAATATTGGAAATTGTCTTCAACTAAAACGGGATCAAGAAATGACACTGAAAATTCCCAGTATGTCTAACACCAAACAATATTGAAGAAAGTAACTTAGGTTTGAATACAAGTCCATGGTATGTAATTTCAATGAGTACAGTTTCTATGTGTGTCTCCACAGTTAAAGCACAAGGATTTTTTTTTCTTTCTTTCTGAGACCTATCTCAAGTTTTTGGGGTTCACACTGCTTCTAGTCATCCACCTTGAATGCCCAATCTTGAAATGGTTTTAATTGCATCGAAAATGGGGGATACAACAGTTTCAAGTGGCAAATACTGTATACTAAATACTATAAATACTATATACTATAAAATGAGCTATTTATTTAAATTTTATAACAAGTACATTTTAACTGCCTTCGTTTTTTATTTTTTTAATAATACTTTAAGTTCTGGGATACATGTGCCAAACATGCAGGTTTGTTACATAGGTATATGTATGCCATGGTGGTTTGCTACACCCATCGACCTGTTATCTACATTAGGTATTTCTCCTAATGCTATCCCTCCCCTAGCCCCCCACCCCCTGACAGGCCCTTTTGTGAGATGTTCCCCTCCCTGTGTCCATGTTTTCTCATTGTTCATCTCCCACTTATGACAGAGAACAAGCAGTGTTTGGTTTTCTGTTTCTGTGTTAGTTTGCTGAGAATGATGGTTTACAGTTTCATCCATGTCCCTGCAAAGGACATGAACTCATCCGTTTTTATGGCTGCATAGTATTCCATGGCGTATATGTGCCATATTTTCTTTATCCAGTCTATCATTGATGAGCATTTGGATTGGTTCCAAGCCTTTGCTATTGTGAACAGTGCTGCAATAAACATACGAGTGTATGTGTCTTTATAGTAGAATGGTTTATAATCCTTTGGGTATATACCCAGCAATGGGATTGCTGGGTCAAATGGTATTTCTGATTCTAGATCTTTGAGGAATCGCCACACTGTCCTCCATAATGGTTGAACTAATTTACACTCCCATCAACAGTGTAAAAGCGTTCCTATTTCCACATCTTCTCCAGCATCTGTTGTTTCCTGACTTTTTAATGATTGCCATTCTAACTGGCATGAGATAGTATCTCATTGTGGTTTTGATTTGCATTTCTCTTATGACCAGTGATGATGAGCTTTTCTCCATATGTTTGTTGGCCACATAAATGTTTTATTTTGAGAAGTATCTGTTCATATTTTTCATCCACTTTTTGATGAGGTTGTTTGTTTTTTTCTTGTAAATTTGTTTAATTTCCTTGTGGCTTCTGGATATCAGCCCTTTGTCAGATGGATAGATTGCAAAAATTTTCTCCCATTCTGTAGGCTGCCTGTCCACTCTAATGATAGTTTATTTTGCTGTGCAGAAGCTCTTTAGTTTAATTAGATCCGATTTGTCTATTTTGGCTTTTGTTGCCATTGCTTTTGGAGTTTTAGTCATAAAGTCTTTCCCCATGCCTGTGTCATGAATGGCATTGCCTTGGTTTTCTTCTAGGGTTTTTATGGTTTTAGGTCTTATGTTTAAGTCTTTAATACACCTTGAGTTAATTTTTGTATAAGGAGTAAAGAAGGGGTTCAGTTTCAGTTTTCTGCATATGGCTAGCCAGTTTTCTAGACACCATTTATTAAATCGGGAATCCTTTCCCCATTGCTTGTTTTTGTCAGGTTTATCAAATATAAGATAGTTATAGATGTGTGGTGTTATTTCTGAGGGCTCTGTTCTGTTCCATTGGTCTATATATCTGTTTTGGTACCAGTACCATGCTGTTTTGGTTACTGTTGCCTTGTGGTATAATTTGAAGTCAGGTAGCATGATGCCTCCAGCTTTGTTCTTTTTTCTTAGCATTGTCTTAGCTATGCAGGCTCTTTTTTGGTTCCATATGAAATTTAAAGTAGTTTTTCTAATTCTGTGAAGAAAGTCAATGGTAGCTTGATGGGATCACATTGAATCTATAAATTACTTTGGGCAGTATGGCCATTTTCATGATATTGATTCTTTCTATCCATGAGCATGGAATGTTTTTCCATTTATTTGTGTCCTCTCTTATTTCCTGGAGCAGTGGTTTGTAGCTCTCCCTGAGAAGGTCCTTCACATCCCTTGTAAGTTGTATTACTAGGTATTTTATTTTCTTTGTAGCAATCGTGAATGGGAGTTCACTCATGATTTGGCTGAAGAAGTTGAATCCCTGAACAGACCAATAATAAATTCTGACATTGAGGCAGTAATTAATAGCCTACCAACCAAAAAACACCCATGACCAGATGGATTCACAGCCAAATTCTACCAGAGGTACAAAGAAGAGCTGGTACCATTCCTTCTGAAACTATTCCAAACAATAGAAACATAGGGACTCCTCCCTAACTCACTTTATGTGGCCAGCATCATCCTGATAACGAAACCCGGCAGAGACACAACAAAAAAAGAAAATTTCTTTTTTTTTCTTATTATTTTTATTTTAAAGTTTTGGGGGAACAGGTGGTGTTTGGTTGCATGAAAAAGTTCATTCATAGTGATTTCTGAGATTTTGATGCGCCCATCACCCAAGCAGTGTACTGTACCCAATATGTGGTCTTTTATCCCTCACCTCCATCCCACCCTTTCCCTGCAAGTCTCCAAAGTCCACCATATCATTCTTATGCCTTTACATCTTCATAGTTTAGCTCCCTCTTATAAGTGAGATCATAAGATGTTTTGTTTTCCATTGCTGAATTACTTCATTTAGAATTATGTTCTCCATCTCCATCCAGGTTGTTGCAAATGCCATTATTTTGCTGCTTTTTATGTCCGAGTAGTATTCCATGGTATACATATACCTCATTTTCTTTATCCATTCATTGGTTGATGAGCATTTTGGCTGGTTTCATACTTTTGCAATTGTGAATTGCAGCACAAGGATTTAAATGGGACTCTGAGAATTGGTCCTCTTGAATATGCTTTAAATAAACACTCTCTCTACAAACCATCCACTCCATTCTTCCTCCCTTTTTAGTCACCATTTATGCCCTCTACCCTCGTCCACCAATTCAATTCTTAACCTTTACTGAGGGTTCAGGGTAAATCCTATTTTCTCCAGGAAGCATTTCCTCATCATTGTAACTTCCTGTATCTTTTAGAGCACTGATTGTTTACACTGGCCACCACACATTACATTGTTGTCTCAGCTAACTTGTGTATTGTTTTGCCAATTGCACTGTGAAAACATATTTGGGATTGGGAACCATAGCTTTTACTTCCCTGTAATCCCCATAGCACTTCATATCTCATATTGCAGAAATGATTCTTACTACCTTTCTTAGTTCAGTAGTAAAAGTTAGGCAGTTTGGAAAGAGTACAGGATGGTACAAGAAATTGAAAGGATGGTTTCTGCCTCATGAACTTAGTAAGGTTCTCTACTACTTCATAAAGTTACTGATGCTTTATGAAGCGGAAACATATATATATATATGAACCCTCAATTAGAGAACCTTAGGTGTGTGTATGTATATATACATGTATATATGTATGGTGTGTGTGTATATATATATACCTAAAATAATTGGAGAATAATTTCAACATTATATGCAATACATGAATAAAGGGAAATATGGAAATATAAGCTAGATGGCTATGTTTCAAAAGGAATTGAAGAGCAACATCTCCATAGAATACAGTAAGTTAAAGAAGGTTGATTACATAGGTTTTCATATGCATTTTTTCTAAATATAAGTGTCATTTGTGGTATAAAACAAACTCTGTTTTAGTGTTTTTTATTATTTTCTGGAAATATAATGTATTTTCACATTATTTTCTGAGGGGTATAAATTTCAATACATTGAGCATTTCATTTAAAAGGGACCCTGATGTACTCTATAGAGACATGAAGAATTAGCTACCCAAATGGATGTTAAAATAATAAAAAGAAGCTTTTAAAATTCCAAATAAGTACCAGAGCTGATTATGCTAAGTAGTGAGTTCATTGTCCATTATAGACTTCTTATCTTCTATTTTCTTCTAGAAGCAGCCTAACAGATGTAAGTACTATTCAGCAAAAATCACAACTACTTTTTTTTTTTTTAGTGGAGATTTTGATGCATTACAGCAAGCCTCTTTAAATACAGTGTTTACAGATTTTCACCTGGTGACGTTGGTTTCAATAGAGTCCATTAAGATGTCCTCTATAAGCTAATTTAATGCCAAGAAAAATGTAGTTACCTTTGTAAAAACCATGTTCTCTTAATTCATCAGAATAAATGTACTGTCGTAGTAAGCCAGGGAAAAAGCTATACATGCATTAATTTCTATGTATGATTTTTTAAGTACAGGCAACATGGCATTTATACTTTTTATTTCATTATTAAGAAAAATTTTGTCTCAGCTCAAAAAAGCCGGCAAGTTAAACTCATTAATTATTAGGAATTTGCAGTTTCCTGCATCTAAATCATACCAAAGGACCAATTTCAACTCTTAACTTGGAAAATTCAGCAACTTATGTTTTTTGACTTATGGTTATCAAAAGCCTGCCTGAAAATAAAAGGTTCATAATATCCAGGAAAACAGACTATAGGGATTATCAGGAGAACAAGAAAAAAATGCCAAGTGTTGAATTTGGAAAAGTCGTAACAAGTTAGTCTGTAGCCATAAACAGAAAGTAAAACAGAAAATGCTCCCTCTACAAAAGATTCCCTGTGTGATTGAAATGAAATCCAAGGAAATGTACGAAGACATAACTTTGATTTAGCCTTCACCAGGGAAGGTAGAAAATCTCAGGAACCAAAATTAAATAACTTGTGATATCTCTTTCCTAGGACACTCTTTACTGAAAAGCAGTAGTGTCAGAAATATACCCCTAGTATGAATATATGTATATGTACATATATAAACTTGTGTTTATGTATGTGGGTGTGGACATACATATGTAGGCATGGCTGTGTGTGTATATACTCAAATATATGTATGTAGTTGTAAATAGGATGCAAACTATAGTAGCCATAAAAAAATTTAGAACTTAAGAAATGTCATCCTAAATAAAACATTGGTTTATCTCTCTCATATTCTATATGTAATGCTGGCACCAAAAAATAATTTCTGAGAAGCACAGTTATAATCCATGATGATAACCTCAAAAAAATGAAAGAATGTATACTTACAACTTTTCTCTATAAATGTAGCACTTAAAATGTAAATAAGCTCTTCTTTATATGTGGAGCAGCCTGTGCTAAATGCTACTGATGCTTTATGAAGCAGAAACATACATCCTACTACACTGAAGAGTAATGAGTTTCTTTTATTTAATATTAAATTCATCATCTGCTTCTATATGTCTATATATTTGGCATTATATAAACAATCGATTTTCTTCTAAAAATCGCCTTCATGGTTGTTTTTCTTTGGTGATTCTCAACCCACCATTTTTTTTTCTTCTTCAAAATGGAGAATTCACATTTTCTTCACTCTTTAACTTTTTTCCTTTGATCATTTTAGTTCCTTTGCTTTGAAACTTCTTTATTTCCTTTAGTAGCCATAGCCATATTTAGAGCCAAGGACTTCCAGTAACAGTTTATTTTTATGCATATCTAGATAGAAGAGAAAATTTATCTTTCTACTTTGAATAGCGCCCCACTTTTTGTGGCACTTTCTGTTTGTATAAACACATTACCTACATTGAATACATAATATTTTCTACAGGGTCAGTGATGTCATTGAGTACAGAACCGATTTCAATCCCTCACTGGTGGTTTCCTCCTTTTTAAAAATCGTATCTTTTTCCAATAGAAAATATCTTTTTACTTCTCATCCCACCGATGCAGTGGTGTTTCTTTTCTTTTCTTTCTTTTTTTTTTTTTTTTTTTTAATGGTAAGATCTTTTTGAGCCTCAAATGTGAAATTAAAATAGATGACCAGTGTGGTTTCTTATAACTCCTGCATTTTGTGAGTTTCAACGTGGAATCTTAATGCAAACATTTATAACCATCCAAAGTTATTTCCTCTTGTCTTTATGCAGACTTGATTTACTCTCGAAAAACAGTTACCTTTTGCCCAGTAGGTTATATTTGAATACTTTTTCAGTGATGTTATTCCTTGCTAAATACCCCCATCAGTTCACAAAATGATAAAGTAAACCTATGAACTTAACATTTTCTGTGTTTTTTTTTTGGATCATCTGGATGGACCAGCTGATGCTGTGGCAAATCAAACACACACACGCAAAAACAAATCAATCAGAAGCTTAAAAGAGTAGTTTCCGAAACAAGAGAGTTCACTATATTAGTTACTGTAAGAAATAGCCCCTTGTCCAGGCATGGTGGCTCATGCCTGTAATCCCAACACTTTGGAAAGCTTAGGTGGGCAGATCACAAGGTCAGGAGTTCAAGAGCATCCTGGCCAATATGATGAAACCCCATCTCTACTAAAAATACAAAAATTAGCCGGGCATGGTGGCTGGCTCCTGTAGTCCCAGCTACTCGAGAGGCTGAGGTAGGAGAATCACTTGAACCCGGGAAGCTGAGGATGCAGTGGGCCAAGATCACACCACTGTACTCCAGCCTGGGCGACAGAGCAAGACTCTGTCTCAAAAACAAGAAAAAAAGAATTAGCCCCTTAAAGGTGTACGATGCCTAAACACAATAGATACCTTTCTCTGCCTCATGTTAACAGAACAAATAGGTGAAATGTTTGGCAGAATGGCCTTCTTCCGTGCTGTCATTCAGCAACTCAGTTGATAAACATATTGACACCTTTAGTATGTCTTCAGTTGTTGCCTTGGGGTCAGGCCCATTTCAGGCAACAGAAAGTACAGAATAACATGGAAGAGCAAATGTGGGAGATTTTAATTATTCAGACCTAGAAACGGTACCCATCATTTCCATGGACATTCTGTTGTTAAAACTGTATCACACAAAACTATTCTTAACTTCAAGAAAGAAGCCTGGAATATATGGCTTACTGTGTTCCCAGGAAGAAGAAAAAAATTTTGGAGACTAGCTGGCAGTCTCTGCCACATCCACTTTATTCAACAATACTGTTCCAGCATCAGAAAAATGTTGTAGGAAGACACTAGCTACAGGCAGTGTGTGGTTAACTATTTCAGGGTCTTCAGTGTTGCCAAAGTATATTCAGCTGCCAATTCCCAAGCTGTTTTGTGGCTCAGGCATAGCTATGTAATGACTCTGACATGGTACCATCATTTTATCATAACAGGTTACTGATAAACCTCAGTGGCAGCCAGTGTTCAAGTGTTCACCATAGAAATGTACCAAAACAAAAGTGAGATTTAAAATAAACCTTAATAACCCTCATGCTCAACATACCCATTTTCAAGTCATTTGATTCTTTCATAAATTATTTTCTTGGAAAAGGAAATTGGCTCAATGTCAGGTTCTTTGGTGGTTAAAATGAATTATCAGGTACAATAAATGCTTCTTTATTGGAGGTGCTATTTTTTTCTTTCCTGAATTTTAAATTAATGAGATTTACAATATTAAGTTTATAAAATGCTAGGTTAATGAATTATAATGAGAAATAAGAGTATTTCATTGTAACGCTGCCGTTGATACTAAAAAGAACAGCTAAATGAAGAAATTCACATCATAATTCAAATAACTAAGGGAAGCAAAGGTTATAAAAGGAATAATTTAATGTGAGAAAAATTGCTTTATGCCTGTCAAAAGACTCTAGAGGAAGATATTATTTGACTTTTAAAGTTAGCTAGTGCATGACTCTATTCAGAGTAAGTAGATCCTGGTTTTTGTGTTTACCCTAAGCCCAAGAATTTCTATTTAAAAACTGACCAGTACTGAGATAAATTACTCACATGAGATAATCTCTATGTTGAGTGTCAGCTCATGAGTTGTTCAACTCTATTTTCATACCCCTTCACCCTACCACCTCCCTAGACCAGGTACCTGGTCGCACTTGATAGTCCGGAGCTTTCCCAAGGTAGCGCTTTACCGGGGCTGCCCTTTTAGCTGGTCCAGTGCTGCTAATCTCAGCTCACCCATTTTCCTCTCCTGCTTTCAATGTTCATCTAGCCTGGCAGCAGTCCCATAAGGACTTGTCCCCTCATGCACTTAAATGCCAATAAATGCCTGTGTGACTCACTGATATTCAGACTGGTTGGTTCCTTAGTACCCTGTTAGTACAAAAAGTAACTGCTGATACAGGAATTTCAGGCATTCTGCTCTCAGTGAGAGATGTTATTGTGGGTGTATAGTCATTGTTTCTCAAATAAAGACATGTATCTGTTGGGTAAAGTTGCATTTTATGTGAGGAATGGTTTATGTTTATTCTTACATTATTAATGCAATGGAATTATTTATATACATAAACTTATATATAGAAAATGCAGAAAAGGAGATAACTATAGCAACCATTTTTTACTATTATGTGGCATTCACCTCTCCAAGTACTTTATATATTCCCTAAATTAATCCTCCCAAAACCTGTTTATGGATTTTCACCTTTGTTTGACAAATGGGGAGATAGGTTTTTAAAGTTATGTAAATTGTACAAGCTTACCCAACCAGTAAGTGGGAAATACACTTGGAACACAGATCTGTCTGTTGTCTTAACCACAACTAGTGTATCCTGACTAAAATACATATTTTTGCTTCAACTCTCAATATAAAGTGAATAAGTAAGAATATTTTTCTATTTTGAAGGTAATTTAGAAGTCACCTTATCTAAAGCAATTATTTTAATAAGACCTATAGAAATTAAATGCTCTTACTTCAAGATAGTCTAATTGCTGAACAGCATAGCACACACTAGAACTAGAGTCTGTATTCTTGTCTGCCACTTCCTACACTGTAGCCTAGATAATTCACTGAATATTCCATTTAGAAAAAAAATCTCTTACAAAACTTGTCATTTCAGCATCTTAGATGCAAGCATAGCATCTTGGAAAACTTGGAAAAATTCTAAGATTAATAGCAATATACTAATTGACAATATTATATTGGTAAGTTTACTCTGAATTCAAAAGTCTCTAATAACTGATATATAAGGTTAAATATGACAGTTCATGGGAATTGTCACTGAAATCAGCTTTTCAAGAAGAGCACAGGAAAGAACAAACAAAGAAAAAAATTGCAATCTTATATGATATACAATGACATGTATAGAACCATAAGTCATTTTGTTAAGTGAAATAAGCCAGGCACAGAAAGACAAACTTCACGTGTTCTCATTTATTTGTGGAAGCTAAAAATTAAAACAATTGAACTCATGAAGGTAGAGAGTAGAATGATGATTACTAGAAGCTGGGAGAGCTGGGAGAGGTGGTGGTGGGCGCCAGGAGGAAGTGGGGTGGTTAATGGGTATAAAAATATAATTGGATAGAATGAATAAGATCTAGCATTTAATCGCAAAACAGGATGACTATTGTCAATAATAATTTAATTGCACATTTAAAAAATAACTAAAAATATAGTTGAATCATTTGTAACACAAAAGATAAATGTTTGAGGTGATGGATACCCCATCTACCCTAATGAGATTATTACACATGGTATGCCTATATCATAATATTTTGTGTAACCCATAAATATACAAATCTACTATGTACCCACAAAAAATAAAAATCAAAAAAAGAGAAAGATATGAACAAGAATTCCTAGATAGAGTTAAGAGTAATTCATTTCACTTATTCATTCATTTACTCACTCAACAATCATTTAATAATAACCTGCTTGATTCCAGGCACTGTTTTAGGTATAGCAATAAACAAAATAGACACAAATCTCTCCCCTAATGGAGCTTTCAAGGGGGAAGGGGAGAGTAATAAGCAGGACAAATAAGTAAAATATACAATATTTGGATAGTAAATGCTAAGGAGAAAAAAAATGAAGTGAAAGAAAGAAGACAGGAAGTCAGTTTGGGGCAGGGATATTTCTTTCTTTTTTTTTGGGGGGGGCGGTGGGGACGGAGTCTTGCTCTGTCGCCCAGGCTGGAGTGCAGTGGCGCCATCTCGGCTCACTGCAAGCTCCGCCTCCTGGGTTCTCGGCATTCTCCTGCCTCAGCCTCCCGAGTAGCTGGGACTACAGGAGCCCGCCACCATGCCCGGCTAATTTTTTGTATTTTTAGTAGTGACGGGGTTTCACCGTGTTAGCCAGGATTGTCTCGATCTGCTGACCTCGTGATCCACCCGCCTCGGCCTCCCAAAGTGCTGGGATTACAGGCATGAGCCACTGCGCCCGGCCGGGGCAGGGATATTTCATAAGGGTGGCCAAAGAATGCCTCACTGAGAAGGTGATTCTTGAGTAAATAGTTAACAGAAATGAGAAAGCAAGCCATACAGTTATCTAGAGAGAGAAAGCATTCCAGTTGGTGCAAAGGCTGTTTTGGAGGGTACCTAGTGGGTATGAGGAAATATGAAGAGGTCAGAGTGACCTGGAGAGCAGTAGGAAGCCAAGTAGAAGGGGGAAGTGGGAAGCAGGCAGTCCATGTGGAACCGTGAAGATCATCATAAAGATCTAAGTTTCTACTTTGGATGAATAGTCTGGGAGGAACTTTGTTAACTGATGTCATGGGGGAAGATAGGCTGTGGAATTTCTGAAATTAAGAAATTTAGAAATTAGTGTATTTTAGTTATGACCAAGTTCAAGTGCTCCATTTTAAGATAAGAAAATAAAAGCACAGGGCAGCTGAGATTTGCCTATATGAAGCTAGTAAGAAGCAGGGTTGGGACTAGAAGCTAAATCTTAACTGAATTACATACATTGTCTCAAAGGGTCACAGACATGGCTCAGGATGGATTATATCTTAGCTGTAAGAAGACCAGAAATTAATATTGATGAGTTTAGAATCATAAATCCTAAGATGAGCAATCATTAACAAAATGATGGGGGAAAATGGAATTGTCTAACATTATACTTTGATCTTAACTTTGGCACTTTTTAAAAATATAATATCTTTAGTTAGAGTATGTTCCACAGGAAGATTTCAAGTGGTTAAACCGACCTGTTCCTTCATTTAAAAATATAATATCTTTAGTTAGAGTACGTTCCACAGGAAGATTTCAAGTGGTTAAACCGACCTGTTCCTTCATTTTCTTTTTGGAGGTTAATTTAGAATAGTCTCAAAAATTGGTTTGGGGACCTACAATGGTCCTCTGTGATTTGCATAATAAAAGTATATCTGTCTTTTGTGTACAGTTGTATATGAGTGTATGTGCGTAGGAAGGGCTTCATGCATGGCCATTTAGTTTAGTTGGTTAAGGCTTGAAGCTAATTAAGTTGAAAGCATGAGGTCTTCCCTATATGGACTTGTACCTTGGCCCTAACAGGTGCAGAATACATCCCACACCCTGACCAGCTGTCTTGCAAATTCATGTTTTTGGTTATAAGGTCAAGGCCACACAAGCCTATCGCTGAGGATGAAAAAGATTGCTCAAAGCATATACCATATTGATAGTATGTCAGCTGCATCCTTTTAATACATGGGCAACCCGCTGATTAGTCTTGAACTGGTGTAAGGCTGGTTGCTTCTCTGGCTCATGACAACAAAGGCAGATGAACAGCAGTTTTGTTTCTCAATGTGAATGTCTCCTCATGTCTGTGAGGGGTCTCTGCTGAGAGTTCCTCTCAGTAGGTCTCTTCGTATGGGAGTATGTACATATTCTAAACTTAGATCTGATCAAATAAGATTGCAATTTTTTTCTTTGTTATACTGCTTTCCTTTCTTAGGGGTATATGCCCAGGAGTGGAATTGCTGGATCATATGGTACCTCTTCCAAACTGTTCTCCATAGTGGTTATACTAATTTACACTCCCACCAACAGTGGATGAAGGTTGCCTTTTCTCCACATCCTAGCCAGCATTTGTTATTGCCTGTCTTTTGGATAAGAGATATTTTACGTGGGGTGAGATGATATCTCATTGTAGTTTTGCTTTGCATTTCTCTGATGATCAATGATATTGAGCACCTTTTCATATACCAGTTTGCCATTTGTACGTCTTGTTTTGAGAAATATCTATTTAGGTGTTTTGCTCATTTTAATTGAATTCACAGATTTTTTTTTTCCTTTAGAGTTGTTTGAGCTCCTTATATATTCTGGTTATTGATCTCTTGTCAGATGGATAGTTTGAAAATATTTTCTCTCATTCTTTGGGTTGTCTCTTCACTTTACTAGTTGTTTACTTTGCTGTGCAGCTTTTTAACTTGATGTAATCTCATTTGTACATGTTTACTTTGGCTGCTTGTTCTTGTAGAGTATTACTCAAGAAATCTTTGCCCAAAGAAATGTCCCCAGAGATTTTCCTCACAGTTTTTCTGTAGTAGTTTCAGTTTGAAGTCTTAGATATAAGACTTTCATTCATTTTGATTTGATATTTGTATATGCCAAGAGACAGGGGTGTAGTTTCATTCTTCTGCATATGGATATCCGGCTTTCTTAGCACCATTTATTGAAGAGATTGTTTTTTCTGCAATGTATATTCTTGGCACCTTTGTGGTAAATGAGTTCACTATAGTTGTATGGATTTTTTTCTGGGTTCTCTATTCTTCTCCATTGGTTTATGTGTCTGTTTTAATACCAGTACCATGCTTTTTTGGTTACTATAGCTCCGTAGTATAATTTGAAGTCAGGTAATGTGATTCCTCCAGTTTTATTCTTTCTGCTCAGGACAGCTTTGACTATTCTGGGTCTTTTGTGGATCCATATACATTTCAGGATTGTTTTTCTATTTCTGTGAAGAATGTCATTGGTATTTTAAAATGGATTGCACTGAATTTGTAGATTGCTTTGGGTAACATGGATATTTTAACAATATTGATTCTTCCAATCCATGAACACAGAATACCTTTCCTTTTTGTGTGTGTCCTCTTAAATTTCCTTCATCAATGTTTTATAGTTTTCATTATTGAAATTATTTGCTTCTTTGGTTAATTCCTAAGTATTTAATTTTATTTGTAGCTACTGTGTAGACTAATTTTAGCTATTGTAAGTGAAATTACTTTTTAAATTTCTTTTTCAGACCATTTGCTGTTGGCATATAGAAGTGCTACTGATTGTTGTATGTTGATTTTGTATCCTGAAACTGAATCCTGAATCCTGAATTTGTTTATTAGTTCTAATAGTTTTTTCATGGAGTATTTAGTTTTTCCCAAATATAAGATCATATCATCTGCAAACAAGGATAATTTGACTTTTTCCTTTCCAATTTAGATGCCCTTTATTTATTTATCTTGTTTGATTACACTAGCTAGAATGTACAGTATCATGTTAAATAACTGTGGCAAAAGTGGGCATCCTTGACATATTCCAGATCTTAGAAGGAAGGCTTTTGGCTTTTCCCCATTCAGTATGATCCTATCCATGGGTCTGTTTTAAATGGGTTTTATTATGTTGAGGTATGTTCCTTCTGTACCCAGTTATTTTAGGGTTTTTATTAAGAAGACTGTTGAATATTATCAGATGATTTTCCAGCATCAATTGAAATGATCATATTATTTTTATCCTTGATTCTGTTGATATAATGTATCATACTGATTGATTTGCATATGTTGAACCATCCTTACGTCCCCAGAAAAAATCCCATTTGGCCATAATGAATGATCTTTTTAATGTGTTGTTGAATTCAATTTGCTAGTATTTTGTTGAGGATTTTTGCATCAATGTTAATCAGGAACATTGGTCTGTAGTTTGTTTGAGTGTTCTTTCTTTCTTTCTTTCTTTCTTTCTTTCTTTCTTTCTTTTTCTTTTTATATGTCATCTTTGTCTGGTTTTGCTATCGGGGTAATCTGGCCTCATAGAATGAGTTTGGAATTACCCTCACATCCTACATTGTTTGGAATAGTTTGAGTAGGATTGATATTAGTGTTACAGGATCCTTTGGGTGTCACTTCATTAGCCAGCAACCTCTGTGGCCAGTGGCACCTTTGCCCGAGTTTTGCTTGCGCCCACTGGGCCCACTCAGCCTGACAAGCATACTCGGCTTGCACTTCTGGCCTGGATCCCATGCCTGCCAAGCATGTGGAGCAGCAAGGAGTGTGTGAGCAAGTGAGCATGGGGTCTGGTTACTGTGCATAGCCAGGCATGTTGGCTGCGGTAGGGTGGGCAGCTCCAGGCACTGGTATGGGTGCCGGCTCCCTGCAAGGCTGCAGCTGGACAAGGTGTCCCACAACAGCTTCCACAGCTGGCACTGGGGAATGTGGTGGCACCTGGAAGCTTGGAGACGCCAGGAACTGCAGAGCCCCCAAAGGGGTGTCACAGCCCTGGCTCAGGGAGCTCCTAGGTCTGGAACACCTGAAGGGCTGCAGCTCTTCTCTCTTCTCTCCTTTTCATTGCCTGCAATGTGGTAAGCAAGGGGCGTGTTTCAGCTCCTTTTGTGTTACAGCTCTTTCAGCCCTGGCATTCAGTGGGTCCCAAGTTATTGTCCCATGTCCAGGAAGAATGAGATATGTAGAGAAGTGGAGGATAAGAAAGATGAAGAGTAGCTTTATTGAGTGATAGAGCAGCTCAGAGGAGACCTTCAGTGGGTAGCTCCTCTCTGCTGACAGGGTATCACTGGGATACCCTGGCTGCAGAGAGGAGACCCTGGAGTCGGTAGCTCCTCTCTGCAGCTGGTCATCCTGACATCTGCTTAGCTCTCAGCAGAGAGGAGACCCTGGAGTGGTTAGCTCCTCTCTGCAGCTGTTCATCCCGACCTCTCTTCATGTCTGGCTGAGTCTGGGGTTTTATGCACTTCAGAAGGGAGGAAGTGTGTGCTTATTTGTTCATGCGCAGGAATGGGTGGACCTGGGAAAAGCACTATAAGTTCCCACTCCAGTCCACGGGATTACCAGCCCAGCCTCCAGGCTTTAGGCCTTCCCCAGCTTGAAAGTAGGGCTTCACCAGGGACCCTCCCTTTTCTGCCCAAAAGCCTACTTGCCTCGTACCACTTTTTATGGTGCCCAGGCTGTTAGTGCTAAGGGTCACCTGCAGGTGAGTGCCAAGCTGCCCTCAGCCCTCCCCTCAGCTTTACCCCCATGCTCATCAGCACCCAAAGTCTGGAGGGGTCTAAATTGGGAGGAGGCTGGCATGTCAGTGCTGCCCTAAGCATGAGTACACCTGGCCAGGTTGTGACAGTGCCCAGGCTTGGCTTCAACTTTGCTCAAAGATCAGAGTGAGCACTGGGAATGGGGAGAATCCAGACAGAGGAAACAGGCACTTCTGAGCCTGAGAAGGCAGAAGGCCTTCCTGGGTCTCTGAGAGTGCAGAGATGCCTGGGTCCACAGCCATGGCTGGGTGGCTGCAGCTGCACCTCAGAGGGTGGGGCTCCTGCCTGCTCCCAGCTCCCAAGAGCACAATGATGCCTAGGTCTGCAGCTGCAGCTGGGTGGCCACAGACACACCTGGGGAACAAGAGGCTTTTGCCCTGACAACTCTGAAGGGGGCAGGACTTCCACCTGTTCCCAGCTACCACTGGCTCCTTGGAGTGCACGGCCCTGGCTATGCCTCCCACACTGCAGCCAGCATCATGGCAGTGGCCACTCTAGATAGGCTGCAGCTGTGATCATTAATTCTTTAAATGTTTGCTAGAATTCAGTAGTGAAGCTGTCAAGTCCTGGGCTTTTTATTGCTGGAAGACTTTTTACTATCGCTTCAATCTCATTACTTCTTTTTTTTTTTTTTTTTTTTTGGTCTTTTCAGGTTTTGGACCTCTTCATGGTTTAATATTGGTAAATTGTATATGTCTAGGAATTTGTCCATTTCTTCTAGGTTTGCCAATTCGTTCATATATAGTTGCCGACAGTAGCCTGTAATGATCCTTTGAATTTCTGCTTATCAGTGGTAATGTCTCCTTTATCATTTCTGATTTTATTTATTTGGGTATCTCTCATTTGTTCTTAGTCTGGCAAAAGGTTTTTTTATCTTTTATTAAAAAAACACTTTTTGTTGCATTTATCTTTTGTGTTGTTTTCTTTCTACCAATTTTATTGATTTCAGCTCTGATCTTTATTATTTCTTTTCTTCTACTAATTTTGGATTTGGTTTGCTCTAGCTTTTCTAATTCTTTAAGATGCATCATTAGGTTGTTCAATTGATGTTTTTCTACCTTTTTGAGGTATGCACTTGTAGCTATAAAATTCCCTCTTAGTACTGATTTCACTGTATCCCATAGGTCTTGGTATGTTTTGCTTCCATTATCATTTGTTTCAAGATATATTTCAGTTTCCTTCTTAAATTTTTTATTACACACTGGTCATTCGGGAACATATCATTGCATTTCCATGTTTTTGTATAGTTTCCAACATTCCTCTTGTTATTTATTTCTAGTTTAATTCCATTGTGATCAGAGAAGACACTTCATATGATTTAATTTTTTTTAATGTTCCAACACTAGTTTTGTGGCCTAACACATGGTCTGTCCTTGGGAATGAACTACATGCAGAGAAGAAGAATGTGCATTCTGCAGCTGTTGGTTGAAGTGTTCTGTTAATATCTATTAAGTCCATTTGGGCTATATTGAAGCTGAGTCTGGTGTTTTCTTTGTTGATTTTTTGACTGGATGATGTGTCCAACGGTGAAAATTGGGTATTGAAGTCTTCAGCTATTATTGTACTGGGGTCTATCTCTCACTTTAGCTCTAATAATATTTGTTTTATATATATGGTGATCCAGTGTTCAGTGCATACATATGTAAAATTGATGTATCTTCCTATTGAGTTGTACCCTTTATTATTATATAATGACCTTCTTTGTCTTATAACTTTTGTCTTGAAATCTATTTTGTTTGATACAACTACTCCTTCTCTTTTTTAGTTTCCATTGGCATGCAACATCTTTTTCCATCCCTTTACTTTCAGTCTATTTGTGTTTTTATAGGTGAAGTGTGTCTCTTGTAGGCAAAAGATCACTGGGTCTTGTTTTTTATCCATTCAGCCACTCTATGTCCTTGAATTAGAGAGTTTAGTCTATTTACGTTCAATGTTATTGATAAGTAAGGACTTACTCCTGCTATTTGTTATTTGTTTTCTGGTTGTTTTGTGGTCCTCTCTTCCTTCTTTCCTTCCTTCCTGTCTTCCTTTTAATAAATGTGATTTTTCTGATGGTATTTTAAAATGTATTACTTTTTATTTTTTGTATATACATTGTGTGTTTTTTAATTTGAGGTTAACATAAGACTTGCAATAATGTCTTATAACCCATTGTTTTAAACTGATGACAACGGTGACTGCATAAACATACAAACTAACAAGAAAGAAAACACTAATAAAAACTCTACATTTTAACTTCATGTCCCTGCTTTTTAACTTTTTATTGTTTCCATTTCTATCATATTGTACTGTCTTGAGAAATTGTAGTTATTATTTTTGATTGGTTCATCCTTTAGTCTTTCTACTTAAGATAAGAGTAATTTACACATTGCAGTTACTGTGTTGTAAGATTCTGTGTTTTTCTATGTATTTATTATTACCAGTGAATTTTGTACCTTCAGATGATTTCTTCCTACTGATCAATGTCCTTTTCTTTTATATTACAAAACTCCCTTTAGCATGTATTGTAGGACATTTGTGGTGTAAATGAAATCCATAAGCTTTTCTTTGTCTGGGAAAGTCTTTATTTCTTCTTCATGTTTGAAGGATATTTTTACCAGATATGCTATTATAGGTTAAAAGTTTTGTTTCCTTCGGCACCTTAAATATGTCATGCCACTTTCTCTTGGAATGTAAGGTTTCATTGAAAAGTCTTTTGCCAGACATATTGGAGCTTCATTGTATTTTATTTGTTTATTTTCTCTTGTTTTTAGGATCCTTTCTTTTTCCTTGACTTTTGGGAGTTTGATTATGGTCTCAAGATTGCCTAGGTATCTTGAGACAAGGTAAATCTGTGAGATGTTCTATAACCTTCTTGTAGTTGAATATTGATATTTTTCACTAGGATTGGGAAGTTCTCTGTTATTATCCTTTTGAATAAACTTTCTACACCATCTCTCTACTTCCCCTTTAAGGAAAATAACTCTTAAATTTGCTCTTTTGGGGTGATTTTCTAGATCTTTTAGGCATGCCTCATTCTTTTCTATTATTTTTTCCTTTTATTTCCTCTGACTGTGTATTTTCAAACAGCCTGTCTTCAAGCTCACTAATTCTTTCTTCTGCTTGGTGAATTTTTCCATTAGTAGACTCTGATGCATTCTTTAGTATGTCAGTTGCATTTTTCAGCTCGGAATTTCTGCTTGATTCTTTTTAATTACTTCAATGTCTTTGTTAAATAAATCTATCATGATCCTGAACTCCTTCTCTGTGTTATCTTGAATTTCCAAGTTTCCTCAAAACAGCTATTTTGAATGATCTGACTGAAAGGTCCCGTATCTCTGTCTCTCCAGGATTGGTCCCTGGTGCCATATTTACTTCATTTAGTGTGGTCGTGCTTTACTGGATGGTCTTGATGCTTGTGAATGTTTTGTCAGTGTCTGGGCATTTGAAAAGTTAGGTATTGATTGTAGCCTTCACAGTCTTGGCCTGTTTCTGCCTGTCCTTCTTTGGAGGGGTTTCCAGATATTTGAAGGGACTTGGATGCTGTGACCTAAGTCTGGGTCACTGCAGCCTTATCTGCATTAGAGGGCACCCCACA
Organism: Homo sapiens; assembly: GCF_000001405.40. NCBI lineage: Eukaryota > Metazoa > Chordata > Mammalia > Primates > Hominidae > Homo > Homo sapiens. The sequence continues at coordinate 69,149,779 of NC_000006.12, forward strand.
CAGAGTAATGCTGCGGCTCTTGCAGACCAACTTGGTGGTCTCGCGTAGCATCGGAGAGAATTCCCTGGGTTATTCTCTTCGCTCTCTTCCCCTTACTTTCACCCAAACAGAGTCTCTCTCTTTATCTCTCTCTCTGTCTGTCTTTCTGTGTGTGTGTGTGTGTGTGTGTGTGTGTGTGTGTGTGTGTGTGTGTGTGTTGAGATCCCTGGAGCTGAGGGAGGGGTGACACAAGCACCTCTGTGGCCACAACCACGGGGACTTCTCTGGGTCAGACCTGAAGCGAAAACAACAGCACTGTCTTGCCAAATGCTCACTGTAACCACTACCTGAATACTGCCTATGTTCACTCAAGGCTGTAGGACTCTACAATAAGCAAGTGGTGAAGCCAGTCATGTTTGTATCTTTCCCTTCAGGGAAGCAAGTTCCCCAGGTCCCAGTTGAGTCCAGAGATGTCATCAAGGAGCCAGGGCCATGAGTCAGGAACCTTAGAAATCTACCTGGCACGCTATTATACTGTAGCTGAGCTGCCATGCAAACCACAAGACAAAGTCCTTTCCACTCTTCCCTCTCTCTTTTAACAGGCAGAAAAGTCTTTCCCCACAAACACCACTGCCACAGGCCCACAGAGAGTAATTCCAGTCTACTGTGAATGTTCACTTAAGGCCCAAGGGCTCTTCAGTCAGCTTGTGGTGTATGCTTCCAGGCCTGGGACTCATCTTTCAGGTCAGTGCCCTACATCCTAGCCCAGAACAGGTCCATAAATTCCATTCAAGAGCCAAGGCCTGGAACTGGGGACCCCAAGAATGCACTTGGTGCTCTGCCCAATTGTGGCTGAGATGGTAGCTAAGCTGCAAGACACATTTCCCTTCACTTTTACCTCTTCTTTCCTTAAACAAAAGGAGGCTTTCCTTGTACCCACTATAGCTGGAAATATGCTAGATCACACTTGAAGTCAGCATATCTCACCCAAGGCCCAGAGTGTGTACTACCTGGTTATTGCTGCTGATTATTCAGGACCCGAGGGCTCTTTAGCAGCAGGTGATGAATCCTGTCAGGACTTAGTCCTTTCTTTCAAAGCAGCAGATTACCTTCTGGCACAGGGTATGTTTAGAAATGTCCTCTGGGAGCTAGGGCCAGGAATGGGGGCCTTACAATTTTGCCCACTGCCCAATCCTATTGTGGCTGAGCTAGCATCCAAGTTGCAAAACAAAGTCCACATTATGCTTTCTTCTCATCTTCTGAAGCTGAAGGAAGAAGTCTCTTTTGGAGCTGCAAGCTACACTGCCTAGGTTTGGGGAAGGGTTGGTGCAAGTACTCCTTAGTAGCCCCAGCTGGTGTCTCACCAGGTTGCATGCCCCACCAAGTCCACTGGCTCCAAGCCCAGCACACCACTAGGACTGGCCTAGGAGTTGCAGTTCTGTGACCTAGAATGCCTTTCAAGTTTATTTAGAACTCTAGAGCCCTTTATCCCAGAGTGTCGAGACTTGCCAGAACTCAGGTTCTGACTCCTGAGATGTATGATTCCCCTCCGGCCAGTGCTAATCTCAATGTTCCTTCTGTGGGCATCAGTTGAGTTTTGCCTGGTGTTGCTTCCCACTATGACAGGGTTCCATTGCAAAGTCCCACAATCACTGTGCTCCCCCATCCCCAAGCATACAGATTCTCTGAACCACATGGTTGCTGCTGGAGAATGGGGGAGAGTTGGCATCAGTCATTCAAATCTATCTTTTCTGCCCTCTTCAGTGCCTTTTTCAGTGATTTGAAGTTAAAACCAGGCACTGTGATCACTCATCTGATTTTTGGTCCTTATGAAGGACTTTTTTGTGTAGATGGCTGTTAAATTCAGTGCTCCTGCAGACAGGACAATCAGTGGAAGCTTCTATTTGGCCATTTTGCTCTGCCCTGTGATTAGCAGTCCTGTCCGTATATTTCTGATACCATAAATGGTTTTGCTATTTGTTTATATTATACAGAAAGACTTGACCAAAGCTCACAAGTTGATATGGTTTGGCTGTGTCGCCATCCAAATCTCATCTTTAATTTTAGTTCCTATAGTCCCCATGTGCCATGGGAGGGACCCAGTGGGAGGTAATTTAATCCTGGGGGTGGTTATTCTCATGCTGTTCTTGTGATAGTGAGTTCTCACGAGATCTGATGGTTTTATAAGGAGCTTTTTCCCCTTTTGCTTGGCACTTATCCTTGATGCTGCCATGTGAAGAAGGCCATATTTGCTTCCCCTTCTGCCATGATTGTAAGTTTGCTGAGGTCTCCCCAGCCATGCTGAACTGTGAGTCAATTAAACCTCTTTCCTTTATAAATTACCCAGTCTTAGTATGTCTCTATGTCAGCATGAGAACAGACTAATATACAAGTACATTTTATATTCTTTTTGGGTGAAGCAAGAAGTCTTATTTCTTTCAAGCTCTAAATCTAATTTTTATGTTTCAAAAATGTATGCATGATTCCATAATTAGTTCCTCAAATGGAATTCTCTTGTGGAAGTCATTGCTTCTGTAGTTTTCACACATCCAGAGAGAAACCTTGAAAATATGGTGTTTAAATTCAGGTCCCAATGTGACTCTTCTTAATGCAAATTGAGTATGAATTTATTAGAAATCATTAGTGGGATAAATGTTCTCCTATTATGTAAATCTGTGTCTTTAATCTGAAATGTAGAAAGCAAATTGCTTTCCAGAATATCTAATCTGCGATTCTGTAATTAGGTGAGCAGGTGGTTAATTACAGGTGCTGTTAGTGACTTGCCCCTCATCACAAGAACACAAATAGCTAATTCTATGTGTCCCAAGTCAGTCATAAGGGTAGTTGTGTTGGCTACACAATTTTTAAATCCACATGTGTTAAGTGCCTAAATACATAAGTAGAACTGAGTATATGCTACTGTTTTATAAATATAAAAGTTGATCCATCACAAAGGATGCACATTTAAGAAAATTTTTAGTGGCATTTTTCATTAATTTTATATACTACTTTACAACAGTCTTTGGTTGAATGTCCAAAAAGCAGATGAAAGAAATTGTATTTATGTATATTTTTATGCTGTACTGTAATAGTATGTGAAATGTCTAAATAAATTGTAAAAGAGGTTACTTATATCGCTATGACTAAATTGAGGATCCTGGAACTGCATTGATGTACTCAGTTTATGATCTCACTTATTTTCTAGTAACTGTTTAAGTCATAGTGTTAAGGAAATGATTACAAAACATGTGCAGGTGCTAAGCTTAGAGTCATAAGCAATAACATGTAGCTATAGAAGTTAATTTCACATGAAGCGTCCACCCAGATATTAAAAGGACTATATTTAAAATGTAGGAAACCTATGAAACCCTGCATGCAAAACAATTGGATTTTTAATTTTAAAATCTGTTAAAAAGTAAGAAAAGTTTTTAGAGAACATAGTATTAGGGCAGAGATTAACCCATGGCAGAAAAAAAGAGAACTATAAAGTTGTTCTTAAAAACTCATGAAGCCCCCGCACCACCCTTCTTCCTGCTTCTAAACACATACCTTTGAGATCCAGGGAGTTGTATTGTTGTCTCTTTTTCAAGCTTGATAATGTCAATGACTTTTAAAGATATACAAGCAAATGGAATAACAAAGGATAAAAGAGGTTTGGGGAAAACCTGAGAAGCATTGTAGAGTAATAGGCTAAAACTAAATGGAGAATAATAAGGGGTTGACATTTTTGACCTCCAAAATGCTATAAGTCCCTTTCACAGAAATGGGTAGTTCTTTTTCAACAAGGTATGACAGCATAGCCTTGGTCCTAAAGAAAAGTTCATCAAGCTTAATATTATGGCCATAAACAAATGTGGGAAATTTCAAATGGGATCCATCAGGTAAAGATCATTTACCTCTGAAACCTCTTCCCCCTAAAAAAGTTTCATATTAATATTTGGTAAGAGCCTAATTACTTTAGAAACATAAGAGTAACCTGTAATCCCAGCACTTTGGGAGGCCAAGGCGGGCGGATCACGAGGTCAGGAGATCGAGACCATGCTGGCTAACACGGTGAAACCCCATCTCTACTAAAAATACAAAAAATTAGCCAGGCATGGTGGCATGTGCCTGTAGTCCCAGCTACTCGGGAGGCTGAGGCAGGAGAATGGTGTGAACCCGGGAGGCAGAGCCTGCAGTGAGCCGAGATTGCACCACTGCACTCCAGCCAGGGCGACAGAGTGAGACTCTGTCTCAAAAAAAAAGAAACATAAGAATAAAAGTGGAACTTGCATAATTTTAATATATCAAAATGAGTTGAAATGATGCAATAATGAACCTGACTCTTGAAACCACACTTCAAAACTGGTATTTCGTGACTTTATAGTCAATTTCTATATATGCACTTCCTCTGCCCACAATTTCAGCTTATATATTGTCTCCATCACAGATCAATGTCAGTGTTTTAGGAGGGATCGTAGTTCCCATGTGATGATGAAAGATTTGCTTTGATAATCAATAATTGCAGTAGGAGACATAATTTGCCCTGGCTTTTGACTCTTAAATCTATCTTCACTTTCACTACCAGAATATTTTATCTTTTGGTTGTTTCCCACCTCCTCATTAGATAGAGTGCAGATTTCTCAGCATAATTTATGAAGCCCTCCATGATCCAGCCTCATCTTGCATCATTTTCTCTTTACCTTCTGTACCTCTGCCTTGTCATTACGGTAGTCAACCATTTGCAATTTTCCCAACACACCACACTGATTTGCACCTTCCTCTTTTTTGTTCCATCTGCCTAGAATAATTTTGTTCATATACTTCCTCCTTTGCCTGGCAAATTCAGATCACATCTCCAGTCTCTGCCTTCCGTTTTCCCAGAGCACCCTTTACCTCCCACATAGCACATGGTAATGAGCTTGTGTTAGTGTCAGTCCCTCTGCTAACGTATAGGTCTAATGGTCAAGATTTTCCCCTTCAACTTGATTTCCCCAGTCTTCACACAATGCCTACCCCATAGTAGATGCTGATTGTCTATTGAGTTGCATAGTATACCTTAGTCTGCACAATATATTTATTTATCCATTCATCTATCTATATATTCATTCATTGATTTATTCATTCAAGCAACAGTTTTTAATTTCACATTGTTTACCAAGGCCCTTGCTACTTGCTAAGATAGCATATTCTTACAAGTGAAGACTGATTAGCTTAAAAGTTTTAAAATTGCTCTGGCTTTGACAGTTTAAAAGTGATAAACTGAACAGAGAATATTGAAAATGCATTTTGCCCACATCTGATTATTTAAGTAGCAATGAAAGTCTTAATAGACTTTACAAGTATTCTAAAATTCAAGACTTGATTTATTAAGTTGGACTTGAGAGCTAATTCTCATACAGCTATTAACCTAAGGTGACAAATTGCCTCATATGGAGAGAGATGTCCAATATATCTAATAAGGAGAGAGAAAGGAATAAACTGAATATTTCATGCCGTGACAATGTTTGCCCTTCCCAGCCACATCTCCCCAAATACTACTTCCATTCTCCATTAACTTCAAGACAAGATAAACATCTACATCTACATTTTGGTATAGGCCACCCAAAAGGTTTTGTGTGCTTGTTTTCATCTGACAAACTAGAAAAAACAATCCACAGTGTTTTGTTTGCTTCCAAGAAAAGAAAAGAAATTTCAGGAAAATACAAAATTCAACATTATGCCATCATGTACCACAGGGAATACCTTTTGTTCTTTATCAAGATACTTTGCAAACTCTAGATTATTACAAAGTTTACCCAATAGTATTTTTAAAGGATAAAGGATTACTAGATGCAGGAATGAATTGAATCATCATAGAATAGGGAATTAAGAGCTGCCATTTATTACTATCAATCCCAATCAGTCAATCTACTGCTGCCATCTAATGTTGGAGCTGTTTCTAAAGCAGATGCTGAGTACAGGTTACCTCTACCATTTGAAAAATTTTTATAGGCCAGCGTATTTCCAAAAAATACACAAAATCAACTGCTTCCTAGAAAGAGAAGATAGTAGTTTGACAAAATGGAGAAATATTTTTTCTTCATTTAGAAGCTTCAAAGGAGAGAAATCATGTAATAGTAACCATTTGAGTACTAATATATTTTTTAAAAGGCGAACAAAAATTAGCCATTTTCACTGATACAGCAATATGACTGTGTCTATATTTGTTCTTATGTTTCTTATATATATTAAATGAAAGTTTAAAAATAAACACAAAATAATTATAATTAGAAGACTCATTAATTTAGTTTTACATATGCTCGTTAATTTAATTTAAAAATATTTAATTGAGAACCTAGTCTCAATTAATTAAGCCCAAAATATTATAATTGTCTTTTACATAAATGAGAAACTTTTTTTCAATAAAATGTCACTATTCCATATGTTGGCCCTGTAATGGTTAAAAAATGAACATGGTTCCTGCCCTCGAATTAATTAGCAAGATAATGGCAGAAAATGGTTAAATTATGTGAAGGAAACAGAGCAAGATAGTATGATAAAGAATGACTGTGTGAGCAGGGAGGCTCAGAGGCCCTGTGTTAGACAGCATGGTTAGGAAAACTGCTGTGAGGAGATAATATTTTAGCTGATATCTGAATGATGAGAAGGAGCCCTGTGAAGAGATGGGACAAAAATGCTTGCAGATGAGGACATAGCAAGACGATGGCCCTCAGGCAGGAAACAGCTTGATGTGGCAAAGAATGAGACAAGATTTACCTGGCTAGGTATATTTGATAAGAAAAGAGAGTTCATCTGGGGTCAGATCACATGGGGTCTTTAGGCCATAGTAAGGAGTAGGGATATGTTCAGAAAGCATTGAGAAGTCATATGAACCCATTAGCCAAGAGAACAACATGATGGCTGATTTGTTTGATTTTTTACACAATCCCTTGGGTTCCATGTATACAATGGATTGCAAAGAGACAAGAATGAAAACAGAAAATCCAATGTTGTTATGAAAATAGAAGGCTGACTTTCAAATTTTGCTAAAGCTACACCAGCTAATTGTCAATTTTATCACTGAATGTTTAAGATGAAAATGACCTTAGAAGTCTTTTTCTCTTTGGTTTACAAATGAAGAAACTAAACCTCAGGGATGTTGGGTAACACAGCTCACAACTTGATCAAGCTGATTCGTAGCAATATTTATTACTATTCCCAGTATAATTAGCCTTCCAGCAGGCCTGAGCTTGCAAGTCAGAGAAGACACTATGTTTCCCTAAGCCACTGAAGAAGTGGCGCAGCAGAATGGTGAAGGCATCCATGCTGGACGCAAACACCCTGATTTTCATACCATTCACGCCTTACTGGCTGTGCAACTGTGTGCAGATTACTTAACCTCAATGGCCCTCAGTTTCCCCATCTGTACGTAGAGATGATAATATCTACTTTATAGGATCAATGTGAGAATTACATGAGTTAAAATTCACAAAGGACTAAGAGCAGTACCAGGTAATTACTGTAAAATAGTTATTTAAAAAATAAAACAATAGGACACTGATGCATGAATATCGCAAGTGTCATGTGCCAAGAACCTAGGGACATAGGTGTTTGGGGAGCTTCTGTACCTACTGGAGCACTTGTGAGGGCATATTCAGTAGTGGAAAAGATGAAGGTTGTACATTGCTCAAAGAAATTACTTGATGGTGATATTTCCAAGAGCATCTGCTATTTGCTTCTTAACCAAGAACCATTTTTCTTCCTTTTCTTTTTTCTTGTAGACCTCACTCACAACAGAAGCTCAAATATCACATACATTCTATCCCAGACTTCATTTCTGGGTTTGGTCCTGTGATTCTAGAAAAGGCCTATGGGGAACATGTATGTGTGGCAGAGGGGGAGGAGGGGTAAGTTTCTAATAAATGATTAGGTTGGTGCAAATTTAATTGCATTTTTTGCCATTGAAAGTAATATCTCTCTGTAAAAAAAAAAAAAAGGAATACTCCTGAGACAATTCCCTTTCCCCTCCATGATTTTGGATATTTTGAAATGAGAAATTGATGGTTAGAATGGTGGCAACCAACTTATGACAATAAAAGAAGTCTAAATGTATTATAGAGTATAATAACAGTATGCAGAATGACTAGAGTTCTGCCATCATTGAGCTGCTGAATTATCCAAGTGCAGAACTACCTCTATTAAGAGTTGTTTTTAAGTGTGATTTTAACATAAATTCCTCTTGTCTAGGTTTCTTGGACTGGTATTTTGTTACTTGCAGTAGAATCATCCTCTCTAATCTACTCTCTCCTGTCATTCATTTTTCAAAAAGTATTAATTAGATCTATCTTATGCCAGATCTCCTGCTTAATCTTACGATACACATAAAAGATATATAAACCCTAGTAGCATTTATGATGATTTTCTTATTCATTGTTTACTTCTATATTTCTCCCTACCATATTGTAAATAATTTAGTTAGACATTTTTTTTATTTATTTTCCCCCTCACACCTACACAACACCTGCTGAAGTTCTTTGGGTACCAAATAAACTTGATTAATGTTTGTTAAATTGTATTAAATAGCATTGGATAATTGCATCTTCCTTCCCCCATCTCTCATAGCTATGACTCCATATAACCTAAGATGATTAAACTTAGATTGAAAAACACATATTACATTAAGTATTAATTTACTCACCCTCAGCTAAAGTTCAGCCAAAAAAAAAAATAAGAAATACAAAATGAGGCTTAAGCAGTCTCAGAATCAATGTAAATGAATGTATTACTCTAATTGAAAGACATTCTGGCTAAGAATTATGCTTCAGTCAAATGAAATATGGCTTTATAAAAATAGAAAATAAAAAATAAATTTTATTTCAAATGTACATTATTGATAAATGTTTATTATTAATACTACTCATTACAGGATATTGGGGAGGATGCCCTCATTTCATAAGTCTTTCAACATTATTACTAAAGTACCATGACAGCTGTCTCTGAACCCTGCTTGAAGATATTATTTTTTTCATTTGCCTCCACTCAGCTGTTTCTCATCTACTTCAAAGGGATCATAAGAGCACTTGAGGGAGCTGGTCTTCTTGCAACTCCAAAGTGAAGAATACAGTAATGCAGACTATAATATCATTTGATTATCACAATTTTTCAATCTTATTGAGGATCTGAATAAGTCAGAATCAAGCTCCTAGTTCTATATTTTATTATAGCATTATTCATCTTCTCTTATTTCCTCCAGCATCCAACGCCCCCACCCCACCACCTCTATACCATGCCTCATGAAATTATTTTCATATTTCATCAGGCGCAGAACACTGAGAAACTGTGGCTTTAGTCTAATGTCTGAAGTTTCTAAATGTCCTTTGGCTTCTTACATTGAGTCTGAAATGTAGACACTCATACAATTACTAGGCCTCAGCTCCCTCTAATATATTTACTTTCATTGTCCCTGAAATTCTTTTCACACTCCTCCTAATCTACTTTTATGTTTCACCTCCTAAAAAATGTCTTTCATTATTAAGTAGAATTTATGTGTTCCAAACTAAAACAAATGGCTTTCTCTTACATTCCATTTGCATTTTAACTGTCATCATACTCTTATGTATAAACTATAATTTATTTTTAAAATTCTTCATATCTTATTTCTTACCTCAAGTATTAGTAGAATTGATTATATTTATTAATTACAGATTGATTTTAAAATCAATAAAATATCTATTATCTGCCAGGTACCTGAAATGCAAATATGAATGTAAATGAACTGAACCCTGGCTCAGTGAGTTCTTCTAGTTGGAAAGAGAAATAAGCAAGCAGACAAACCAGGTCTAGCTGTTTGTCAGACATATAGTAAATATTTAATAAATGTTTAAAAAGGAAGTGAAGGAGTGAGAAAGCTCTAATGATTATATACATTTGTTCATGGAGTCCCATTGATTTTATCTATATTTGTTTTCTTAATGATCTCATCCAGTCTCATGGTTATAAATATTGTGTATAAACTGATGACTCTCCAATTAATATCTATAGCATCATCTGCTCCTCTGAATTTCCCTGGATACCTGATTTCCACATGGACATCTCTTGAATAGCATATATGCTTTATAAACTTAGCATTCCAAACGCAAATTCCAGAACCTATAATGCACACATTCTTTCCTATCCCAGTAAAAGATGACTCTATCCTTCCAGTTGATCACAGTCCAAAATGTTTTCTTTCACACTCCATGTCAAATGCTTTAGAAAATACTATCAGCTCTGCCTTCAAGATGTATCCAGAATTTAATCCCTTCTTAATACTTTCACTGCTATTATCATGGCCCAAACATTCATGATCAATTGTCTAAGCCCTAGATTACTGAAATAGAATTCTAATTATTCTGACAGGTCTTCCTGATTCAACCCTTGCCATATAGATTATTCATAACATATCAACCAGAGTGATCTGCTGAGGTAGAAATTAAACCATGTCATTTTCTCTGTTCAACACCCTTCCATGTCTTCCCATCCCATGCAGAGAAAAACTTACATTCCTTACAGTGGATTACAAGGTCCTTCTTGATATCTCTCCTCCTGCCTTTCATCTCTGCCCTCATGTGCTACCTACCCCTTCACTCACTCAACTCAAGCCACACATGTCTCTTGGATATTCCTCCGATATGGCAGGCACTCTCTCATCTCAGGACCTTCACACTTGCTCATATCTAATCATGACATTCACTTATCAATGCCACAAACTGCATTCCTAACCTAAATCAGGACTTTTCTCAAATGTTATCTTTCAGCGCTGGCTTCCCTAACCATTGCATTTAATATAATCTTTCCTTTATTGTTAATGCTATCATATCATCTTATTATCATCTAGCATAGCTATTCGTATTTTTCAATTATTTCTTTTCAGGCCTTTTCTTTCCCCAGCTAGAATGTAAGCACCAAAGCAATAATTTTTATCTGTTGGTTTGTTTGCTTTTCCTTCCAGTGCTAGATTTGTAATATCTGTAATGTTTATAGGCATATAATAAGTTTTCAATAAATATTTGTTGAATGAATAAATGAATGTATATCTCTTCTAGAGAGAGTAAAGAATAGTTTTATATAGGCAATTACCTCTGAACTTAGTTTCATGAAAGAGACCAAGATACATGAGAAAGCCAAGAGACTTGATTGAGAAAACTCAAAGAACTGGAGGCAATGTTCTGGGAGGCATGTGGCCCATTAGCTCAATATGCCAACTCAACACTCAGACTCATGTCAAATCTTAATTTTACCAGTTACTAGTATGGTAACTGATATCAGGCAAGTTAGTTTATCTTTCTAAAACTTATTTTCCTTAGTTGTAAAGTGGGAATAGTAATACTACCTATCTCATAGGGCTTTATCAGCAAATTCTTGTAAGATAATACATAAAATGGTTATAATAAAGCCTAATATGTAATCTGCACAATTAGTATCTATCATTTATTTTATAATAATGATTATTACTAAATTAAATAATAATAATAATTTAACAGCATTGTTTGGGCAGCTCATAAGACAGTCAGTGGCTGCTAAATCTTCCTCGACTGCAACTGCTGAAATTGGTTGGAATGGAGAATGCTTAGGGATGAATAACACTAGATGAGAGAACAAAGATTTATCAAAAAAGAACCATAGAAAGGACCTTATAGGCTTAGCTAATGGTTTTAGACTTCATTCTGTAAAGCAGTGGTTTCTAAACTTCAGCATGCATCAGAATTGCCTAGGAGACTTGTTATAACACTAATTACTGGGCCTCCCTTCTAAAATTTCTGATTCAGTAGGTCTGTAATGGATCTTAACAAGTTCCAGGTATATCCATTATCTATGGTTGCCTAGCTAATCATCCTCAAATTTACTGACTTAAAATAATGAACAGTTATTATCTCACAGTTGTCGTGGGTCAAGAATCCAGCTGCAAATTGCAATCAATGTGTCAGCTAGGGATATGGTCTCATTTGAAGGTTTGACTGGAGGAGGATTTACTTTCAATCCCTCATGACGTTATTGACATGGTTCAGTTACTCTCCAGTTATTGAACTGAGAGCCTCAGTTATTTACTGGCTGTTAACTGAAGACTTCCTCAGGTCTTCATCAGGTAGCTTCTCCATAGAGCAACTCACAACATGGCAGCTGGCATCCCTCAGAGTGAGCAAGCAAGAGAGTCAGAGATAGCCCCCAAAGTAAAACCCACAGAAATTTGGTAGCTTAATCTTGGAAGTTACGTCCTATTATATCTGTCACATTCTATTTGGCAGAAGTAAATCAATAAATCCAGACCACACTCAGTGGGAAGGGGTTCGATAAGATGTGAATACCAGGAATCAGGAACCATTGATGGCCAAGGTGATGGTTGTGGTGCTGGCTTGGGAACTATAATCTGAGAATTACATGCTATAAAAAATTTTGACATGGATGGTTCTAACATGGACTGGTACTGAAAATCAAGGTGAGACTAGTTAAGAAGTTCTTGCATAACGACTTTTATCTTTAGATAATTAAATTATTTTATGTTTACAAAATTAATACTCTTTTAATCAATATTTTAAAGTATCCCTTCAATGTTGTATATAAACCTCATCTAAAAATGAAATATTGGAAAGTAACTTAAGTTATATGAAAAAGAACTGTGTGGAGCTAAATTCCATTAAGGGTTTCAGTATGATATTGCCCCTTTGTTTAAAATTAAGCATGCATTTAGACAGAGAGAAGCGCAGCCTGGAGTAACAAGAAATATATTTTAGACTTCGCCACTAACTACATTTCATTCTGTAGGCAACTGGTGGTCCTAAATACATAAGTACAAACATTCAAATGCCTTTCTCTCTCTCTTTCTCTCTGTCTAAAAGCTTAGACCACCTAGCAAGTTAATAATATGGTCAAGGACACAATAACTTAAAGGTGCCAAGAGAATCAGCATACAAAATGATGCAACATTTTATAAAATGAGTGAAAATGATTTTAAGTTAAATGTAGAAGTAAATGATTTTAAAAGTGAGGGAAACTATGTAAAATAGATAGACTCAGACATTACTTTAATGGAATCATTATTTTTTGCATGGGAGTACATGGTGCTTTAATTATGTTTCTCAAAAGCTTGTCAGTCCAATTGAGACTCTGTATCAAGAAGCTGTCATCTTAGCAGAAAGGCAGCCTGCTTGACCCCATCACCATTCCCACACAGACCGTGGGAGCTGATGACATCTAGTTTCAACAGCAGGTTTCATATTCTTTGCCACAGAAGCAGGAGGCAGCTTAGCCTTTCCAGCTGTGGGGATTCTGTTCCCTTGGCCTGCTTATTTGTCTGAGTCAATTCACTTGCCTCAGCCTGCTCTTACCTCCTGTTTATTGATTTTGGCTGACATTTAGTTCAACATGTTATAAATTCTCTTAATCATCTCAAAGAGAGAGAAGGGAGCAGAGATGCCCTAACCACTACCTCTCACATCAGCCCAAGACAGCTTCAGGTCATCCATTCCCCAGACAGAAGCTCAAGTTGAAATGTGTGTTTTTCTTACTACTACTTTAGCCACAGCAACACCAATGGAAATGTTAGTTCAGACATCCAAAAGTATATAAAATATCTGATTCTTTACTTTAATTGGGCAGCTTTTTTCTACCTCTATTGCAACCAGGTACCCCTCTTCCTATATTACCATGGGACAAATGATTTGCTCTGCAAATTACAAATGGACATAATTTTGAAAAGGTTAAACGCTACTCAAAAAACCTTCAAGTAAAGCCATTCAAATTATGTGAAAAAAAATTAAGGCGGAGAAAAGCTATATTTTCAATTTGGTCTTGCAAATGCTAATCAGTTCAGATAGGAGATCATAGATATAATAAATTGCTTGGAAGTGACCCAAAGCCCAGGTGAAATAGGATGGGCAGGTAGGTGCCAGTCACCAAGATTTTCTAGGGATAGATTAAGAAGCTGGTTGAATTGTAAATACTGTACAACCCTTTCAAGGTAGAGTCCCTAGGTTTTGCAGTAACTACATTAAAAGTAATTAAGCAACCTATACTTCATACAGAATTATCTTGCATTCGTTCTATGAGAAAAACCCACTGATTCTTTGTATAATTGATTGCCTTTTTAAAATTTGCATGTTGCATTCAGAGTAGATCCTTCAGGTATTGCATTATTTAAACTATTTTTCAACCACGACTTTCTTCTAAATTTTATGTTAGTATTTCTAAGTGCCTGATGAGGCATCTTTCAGGTATGAGGCTGCTCCTCCTTAAAAATTCCCTGCCCCTCTTAATTAGCATTTGCAAAATCTTCCCTCTAGTGAGATCTTTGAAGGTGAGGTATTGTCTAATTCAGCTTTGTTTCTCCAGTATTTTTTTCCCAAGGTGAAAGGAGTCACCCTTCTCTTCCTCTGTTCGCATAACTGCTCTTCTGATCATAACTACTTGTCTACATGTATATTTGTCATCACAAGCTAAGCTAAGGACTGCCTGTGGGTAGGACCTGGCTCCCATTTATCTTTTTTCCCCCTACACCTAGCACAGTGCTGGCACATGGCAGGCACTGAATATATTTGCTGAATGAAGGGAGACAGGAAACCCAAAAGAAAAATAGGACAAACCAAACAATACTGCTACTATTTTTTTGTCAAGTTAGAAAAAAAAAAGCTTACAAAGGGGATAATTTAATGACTAAAAACATGTAGAATCAGCGGTAAGCAGATGTTATCACATATCCAGACATTGGAGTGATTTCATGAAGAATTTGAATAAATGAATTTATTACTTTGTAACTTGCAAACCTCAAGTTAGCATAAGATTTATCTCTGAGCAGGGTCTTGTTATTATTAAAGGTAAGAAGGCAAGCATTAGCACCAGCCTAGAAGCCCATGTAGGTAAGTTTACTGTCAGTAGAGATAAGCACTCATAAGAGGCCACCAGGCAAGGGACAATTAAGATATTCATTCTATTAGATAGGCACTAATTGAGCACTTCTTGTGGGCCAGTTAGAAGACAGTGAAATGAATGAGACAGCGTCCGTGAACTCTGGGAACCTCAATTTAAGGGGGAGGCACAGCAGTTACACAATCATAATTAGATAATTTTCCATTGTCTGTTTTCTCTATTAGTTTCAAAGCTCTTTAAGGGCTTTCTATTCTTGGCAGCTAGCACAGTGCCTGGCACATATTAAACATTTCACAGATCCTAATGGGAAGAACAAATCATTCTATACCAAATGGAGAGTAGACATTATCCTCTTTCTATGCCCCACCCCTCCTCCCTCAGACCTTTATTCTGCCTGGAGGCTTCACACAGTCTCCTTACTGCTCACTCCAAATCTCTTCCACCCGGCATTATTTCACATTGCCACTAGGAGGACCTTTCTAAAGCTAAACCTGATCCCATTTGAAATCCTTAACATCATCCTCAAAAACAAACAGTGGTTTTTCATTTTGACAACACAGATCCTTTTGAAAATCTATTAAAAGGCTTCGAACATTCTCCCCCACTTAAAATGCATCTACAACACAAGACTTTGTGCCCAATTTCTAGTTATTTATGGTCAGCTCAATAGAGGTGCAAGAACCCTAAATTAAGAATCTCAGGATAAAATCCAAAATATGTAGGACACAAGATATCTGTCATTTTTGTGTCATCCTTGGGAACTATCTTCTCCCGCGGCAGCCATCCCCCCCAACTTCACTTTACACCCCGGCAAAACAATTGTTTGGTTTACTTCCACAAACACACCATGCTCTTTTGGATGCCATGTATCATCCTGGAGTTGATTTTTTCATTTTGCAACCTCAAGCCTTTATCTAATTGGTGAATCTTAATCAGCCTTCAAAAACAAGCTCACATTCTGCCTCCTCCAGGAAGCCTCTCCAACTAACAAACCCTAATTAAAGTCATCCCTTATTTCTTTGGGTTATTTCTGGTTCCTTTGCATACTCTAGAGTTGCTTATATTAACTGTTTTTATAGTTTACTCACCTGTCTCTCCTCTAAATTCTAGTAATATTACTAATAATAATGGTTAGTATTTAATGAGATTTTACAAATGTATGAGACACTGTTCTAACCATTTTATATGCATAAGGTAATTTAAATCTCACAAATACTCTATAAGGGTATTGTTTTTATCTTTATTTTATAGATGAAGAAACTGAGGCACAAGGGACTAAATTTTAATTCTTCTGAGTTAAGAACTTTATCTGAAAACATGTTAAAATGAATGGAATTGAAATGCAGTATTATAATAGAAATATTAACAAATTATTGAAACAATACTTCTGATAGAACCATTTACTGAGCACTGACTACTCTTACCGTTGTACTCAGAATTTTACAATATATTATCACTAATATCCACCACATTTCAGCAAGGCAGGTATTACTTCCCACCATTAACAATGAGGGAAGCAGACTTCTATTTAATTTTTTGGTACCAGGGCAGCTTTCTATGCAATCTCAATACAGAAGAGGGAAGACTACTTAGAAGAGCTGAACTGTGAGTGAGTATGACAAAAACCACAGTTTCAGCAGGTTCGTAGCTCGAAGAAAGCATGCAATGTGATAGAGGTGTGTCATCTAGGGAAGACCACATGGCCTTTTAGAAGGATCCCCACATGAATAGAGCCTTGGTTGGTCACATTTTCTCACTCTGAGCTTTGTACATTTACAAGTTTGAATATTAGTGCTTTCAAGAATCATCAGTCTCTAGAAGATTGATTCAATTTAAATAAATTAACAAGAAACCAATGTATAAAATGTAGAATGATACTTTATAAATTCATAATCTATTCACTGATAGGTACATTCACTCCTTGTTGCCAAAGCTATATAAAAAGCTACATCATAATTAAAAGATTGCCAGGAACACACAGAATTGGAGCTGTGGGGGTTAATGAGACTTAATTTTCCAACAAATATTGAGTGCATCAATTTGCCACTCACTGTTGTAGGCACTGAGGAAATCAACAGTGAAAATGAAAAAACAAGGTCCTATTCTCACAAATATTAAATACTAGGGTTGCATCATTAGGCCTGGTAGCTGTATCCTTCCATCTTCATTAAAGAAACAACTTAATTATATGCTAATTGTGATTACAAGGCACTCTCTTTTGAGCAGTACAATGGACTCTCAGTCAATGTTTGCTCCCTAGCTTTCTCTTTTCTATCAATGCTCTGTCACTGATCTTTTTTTAATCTGCTAAAGATTTAAGAAAAATGTTTGATGATGTTCAAGTTAACAATTAGGTTATGCAAATCTTAATCTGATGACATTTTGTTCCTTTAAGAACATTTTGTACATCTTTGTTCTGCTGTATGTTTATTTAGAGTTTGACTCTCACAGAGCAGGAAGCCGTACTTCTCTCTTTCCAAGTTCTTGGGCATTTATTGCTCATCCCATGCATCACTTATAGAGAGCAGCCAGGGTAGAAGTATGTATGCTTCTCTATCTGTTTGCAAACTGTATAGATAATTGTGTTTGTAGCCTATAGTATAGAGAGAAATGGTCTAAAAATGAAGCTTGAAGTCTAACCAGAAGGATTTTGAGAATCAGTTTAAAGAATATGAACTTTATTCTGTATTATATATGGTAGAAAGTCCTTGAAGGTTTTAGAACAAGAAGTGACATAATTAGATATGTATATTAGAAGGAACACATTTCAGGGCAAAAACTCAGATATACATGGAAAAAAACTGTCTCTTCCTGAAGCTGATCTGAATTTCTATTCCATGCCTCCGTTCCTCTAACTTATACAGTATGTGTAGTCTCAATTGATTTAGAATTTTTCAGTGCTTTGTCCTAGATTTTCTCACCAAACATCTAAATTTAGAGATTTGGGTTTTTCCAGTTTTGTTTTTGTTTTTTTCTCACGCCAATTCTAAATAATGTCTTTCAGGGTAAGAGAATAATACACTTTCCCCAGATATATTTGCGGGTATAAGAGCAGAAAGGCCTTGTGCTACATTCCTGAAAAGAGTCCACAAAAATAACCAGACCCCAGAGTTCTCCTGCCCTCCCACAAGGTGCAGAAGCTGTACCACAGAAATAGCTGGTTAGCCTGTATTAGAGATGGATAGAAGGCCTAAGCCAACATCACAGAGCCCTTAGTTGCTAGTGTAGGGGACAAGGGGACTTGCACTGGGGTGGTTCATGTTTTTAGGCAGCCTCAATGAGTTTCCCACAACAATGGAATTTTTTCCTATGTGCCCAGGAACAAAGAAATCTCTAAAAGGAAGTTTTATTTACAGTTACCTTGCATTGCAAAATGAGAAACGATGTATGATCTCCTCATACTGGGAGATTATTTAAGTCTCTGGAATTTGGATGCAGAACGGAGACTCTTATTAGAAATTAAGTTTTAGAAAAGAAATTTACACATTGTTCTTACCTAACTATGTAACCTGAAATTCTGAGCTGGTGCATAGTTTAGAATCTAATAAATTATAAGAGTCGATGCCTACCAAGGAAAGTTACTTAATCAGTAGAAACGTACAGTATATCACCAAGTAGGCGAGAACAGGGAAAATGCTGGGTTCAATTTCATCAGCCGAAAAACGGTTTGGAGATAATGTGACTGTAGCTACCTGAAT
Source organism: Homo sapiens (assembly GCF_000001405.40). Taxonomy (NCBI): domain Eukaryota; kingdom Metazoa; phylum Chordata; class Mammalia; order Primates; family Hominidae; genus Homo; species Homo sapiens. The sequence continues at coordinate 69,168,318 of NC_000006.12, forward strand.
AATTAAATGTGGAATTAAAAGCAGAATTCTAGCATGGGAAAACAAAATCTATCAAAAAGCAACAAATAAAGTTAATTAACTAGTTAACGTAAGGTCATACTAATTACCTGAATATTTACTAAGTACCCAAGTGTGACATTGATGGAGAACTAAAGGTTGCTTTAAAGGAAAAATATTCTCCAATAAACTAATGTTTTCGAAAACTAGTCTCCATGAATCACCCCACATAATTTGCAGTAGCATTTATCCCCACCAGTCCAACCACAGCTTTTTATTAGTCAGTCTCTCACTGATTATGGCTTATAGTGGGTATGAGCCATAATTTAAAATTAATTTAAATTAATTTAAAATTTAATTTTAATGCAAATCAATTGCAAACTAAAATTTCAATTTTTGCAAGATGTGATTTCATAGTTTCTGTAAGAAATGTTGTAGAATTACTCATATCATACCAAATCATTGACAGAATATCATTTTGTCCTCTTTTAAATTTTAGTTGGAAAAATCAGCATGTAATTCAGTCTACAGTTCTAAGAATTGATGTATAGTTACACTACAAACAAAATTTTTTAAATAAAAGTAAACATCTCATAAATTTTTTTTACTAACATCTCAACTTATTTTTATTTTTTTATTCTTGCTTTATAATATTTACCATAAAAATTTGATGTGTTTTAAAGGGATTTACCTTCACTTTCAGTTACTTTTTCCAATGATGTAATGAATATCTGCTATTCTAAATGAAACAGGTGGAAGTTTATGTAGGAAAAAAAGATAGTTCCTCTATAGCCATGCTGCCTGGGAAACAGATATACCTTAAAAAAAGAGTAAATGATTGAAGAGAGAGAAACTATATCACATTGACAGATGGATTGGGAAACAAATGCCCACTTGTTATAAATTGTGATTATGCAATTTTACAACTGACTACTGAAAATGTTGTTTATTTTGAAATATGTAGCCCACATCTAGCAAGTATAAAGTTCTTCACAGTATGCATGCTGTGCTCAATATAACTTCGTATTAGAGTTTACTTACCTATTTTTTTGGCCAATTTCTCTTACTTATTTTAAATTTGTCTTACAGTGCTGTAAGCTATTTCAGAACACTATAGTTACAATGAGTAACTAATGTGTTAATGATATAAATTAAATAATATTTAATGATATAAAAGTAATTACAAATTATAATTAAATTATATAATTATCATAATTAAATTATAATATAAGCACGAATTGTGATTAAATTATCATTTAATTATAAATTAAATGATATAATTAAATGATATAAATTAAATAAATACCATAGGTATTGAGAATCTTACAAAAAGTACAAATTGAATCTGTTGAAGATAATAGTTTTGACCTTAAATGTAAACAAGATCTTCTGAGGAATAACTAAAGAATAATATTCTATAACTATTGGTTCCCAATTTAAGTGCTCAGGAATATTCAACCATTTCTAATGTTTTAATGCCCATGAACTTTTTTCCTGGCAACTGTGGCCCAATAGAGGATAGTTTATAGCTTGACCTTGAATTAGACTATCATGCATAGCCTCTATTTAGTCTTAACAGCTTTGAGGTCCTTGGCTATCTAAGTGCAGAAAAATAGAGTCAGCTAGAAGGCTCTCTGGAGCACTCTTGGAACCTAACAATTCTACCACGAAGTCAGATCGAGAAAACCATTCAGGCTTTAGGAAGCACTAGTAGTTCTAAGTACAATTAATGAAGGGAAATTGACCCTAAGGAGAAGTTTTGCATAGATTTTCTTTACTCTTGCTCTCAAGGGACCCCTGAATGCTAAAATGTCATGAACACTTCACTAGCATTTTAGACTGAACTGATTTGAGACACTCAGAAGTAATTTTCCAAATTTTTATAATAAGGCCAAGTCTGAGACTGTTTTTCCTTGAACCATTTCAGTTCAAGCATATGTTGAAAATAAAGCATTTGATAAAAAGCCTAGATCTAGACTGTTTGAATGATGTGGATTCTCAACAGCATACTCTTTGCTTTTATAGGAAGTATTCTTTTTCTTTACGGCACTCAACTAGTATTTCATCACTTTCAAAGCTTTCTTGGCCCTTGCTATTTCTCCAGGATTCACTCCATTATTTTCAGCCTTTCTTCTAGAATAGGCCTATCTGTCCCTTTTTGTTTTTCACAGCAGCACTATATATTCTCTCATCCACAGATGCTTTGCCAAACTCTTATCACAGCCAAGGAATTAAGGTAGAATACAAATATACAGAACCACCACATTTCCCCAGAAAAGAAAGCAGGAGGTCTATAGAAGTGTTAAAACATGTAAACAATTCACTCTGATATATAGAAAAGGTGTTCTCTGCCGTAAAACTGCACAGGTAAAGTCGTATGGTATTGGAGAAGAGGAAGATATGACTTCTCATTGTAAAGGAATCATAGTAAGTCTTTCTTGATGAGATGGCATTGGAGCAAGAGCTCGAAAGGTAAGTAAAGATGGGGAATTCAGATATGGAATTAGAGCTTATTAGTGGCACATAGTTCAATTTTGCTTGAAGGTAGATGAACTCAAGGTAGAGAGTTCATGTAAGGTGACATAGAAAGTGTTATCAATTAGTGCTGTCTAACTGAAATATAATGTAAGCTACATACATAATTTGCAATCTTCTAGTAGCCATACGAAAAGTAAAAAGAAAAAAGTTATTTTAAAATTTAGTAATTGTAACTCTAATAATATATTCATTCTAAAAAGATATTTTATTTAACCCAATATATCTAAAATACTAATATTTTCACATGTAATCAGTGTAAAATTTATTAAGAAGATACTTACATTCTCTTTTTCATAATGTCTTTGAATTCCAGTGTATATTTTACACTTACTGCATATCTCAATTTAGACTAGCTAGTTTTCGAATGCTCAATAGCCACATATGGCTAATGACTTCCATGTTGGCCAGCATAGTTGTTGAATTTGTATGGATTTTAGTTGATAAGAACAAGAAAAGAAGAAAATGAAGAAAATTAGGAGATGGCTCTCTTTTCACTCAACATGTATATGTGATATGATCTGAGTTGAGAAACATGTGCCACCAAAAATGGCCTGGCCAACTTCCATACCCTTGTTCTTGGTAGTTATTCTGATTGCCAATCAGGTATCCATAGCTCCTACCCGTAGTCCATTTGCTATGGGGTAAGGTAACTCAAAGTTCTAGTTGTATGAAGATGCATATGATTTATCTTAGTCTCTTCCCTTGGGTATAGTTGTTGATTCTGTTATGATCCATACAATTGGAGGAGACATTTTCTGGGAAGTATAAGAAAGAAACCCCCTCTCCCTATTTAGGAAACAACCTGAGGTGACTCAACCTCATTCCCTGTCTTCCCCTGGATGTGAACAAAGGAATTTTAGGCAGTCATCTTGCAACTACTTAGCATAAAGAATGAATACAGAGTCAAAAAAAAAGCCCTTTATTACTCCAATAAACTACAGAATCTAACTAACCATATATCCTGTGGAAGATGTTGCTACCCAATATCAATTTTTTTCTTCCTCAGTAATGCAGCTTGACGTTTGATTCTACATTGCCACACAAAATAAGTACCTCATTTCCCAGCCTCCTTTGCAGTAAGGTATGGCCATGTGACTACTTCTAGCCAGTGACATGCAAAGGAATTATTACATATGTCTTCCTGGAAGTATGGTACCTCAGCGCTGGTGCAATAGCAGCTTTCTTGACCATGGTGCAACTTTGTAGTTGGAGGTTGTGTGTTGAGGATAGTGGAGCAGAAAGATTGAAGCCTATGTTTTTAGATCATGGGGGCTATCATATGAGCTTTGACCACCTATCCCCCACATTTCTTTTATATGAGAGGAATAAATGTCTATTTGTCTACAACCACTGTAGACACTGTGTACTTTGATCTTTTATATTATAGAAAAACCAAACCTAATTATGCCTACCTCTGGTGGTATAGCAATGACCAATACAGACGAGATCCCTGCTATCGGGAGACATCTCTCCTAGTGGAGGGAAAGAGAGATAATAAAGAAATAAACAGGCCAGGCGCAGTGGCTCACGCCTGTAATCCCAGCACTTTGGGAGGCCGAGGCGGGTGGATCACGAGGTCAGGAGATCAAGACCATACTGGCTAACACGGTGAAACCCCGTCTCTACTAAAAATAAAAAAAAATTAGCCAGGCATGGTGGCGGGTGCCTGTAGTCCCAGCTGCTCGGGAGGCTGAGGCAGAAGAATGGCGTGAACCTGGGAGGCGGAGCTTGCAGTGAGTCGAGATTGCGCCACTGCACTCCAGCCTGGGCGACAGAGCGAGACTCTGTCTCAAAAAAAAAAAAAAAAAAAAAAAAAAAAAGAGAAATAAAGAAAAAGAAAAGAAAGAAATAAACAAGCAAAAGAGAGACTTCTTGTTAGAGACAGAAGCAATAAGAGGGGCTACTTTGTGCAGTCAGGGGAGGCCTTCTTGAGAAGCAGACATTAGAGACGTGGCCTGAGGACAACAAGGAGCCGATCACAGGAAGATTTGATCCAGGCACTCTGGGCTGAGAGAGCAGACAGAACAAAATGGCTGAAATGGAAAGAAAGAATGCTGGTATGTCTGGAATACACTGAGTGACAAAGTGGTAAATAAAGAGACAGGAGTTATAGGCAGGGCCTGGATCAGTCAGGGCCCTTTAGGCCAGGAGAGTTGTGTGGGGTTTTGGTTTTTGTTTTTGTTTTTGTTTTTGTTTTTGTTTTGAGACGAAGTCTCACTCTGTCGCCCAGGCTAGAGTACAGTGGTGTGATGTCGGCTCACTACAACCTCTGCCTCCCGGGTTCAAGTGATTCTCCTGCCTCAGCCTCCCAAGTAGCTGGGATTATGGGCATGTACCACCACGTCTGGCTAATTTTTGTATTTTTAGTAGAGATGGGGTTTCACCATGTTGGCCAGGTTGGTCTCGAACTCCTGACCTCAGGTGATCCACCCACCTCGGCCTCCCAAAGTCCTGGTATTACAGGCGTGAGCCACGGTGCCCAGCCAGGCCAGGCAAGTTATTTGAATTCTTCTCTAGAGAATTTTGAAGCCACTGATTTTTCTTTTTTAAACAGAAGAAAAAGTGGTCTGATTTGTGTATTCATTTTTATTTACTTCTGAATTTATATTTTTGTGGATCACTTAGTGGATAAGACAGGTGTAAGAAAATTATTTGCAGTAGTCTAAATGAGAAAGAATGGTAACTTGGAGTAAGATGAGAGTGATGGAGATGAAGATGGATATGTGCATTTTTACACAATTAAAGGCATTGGGTAAATGGAAAGGATATTATAATAGTCAATTAACCTTGTAGCATTGTTTTTTTTTTTTATCTTATTGTAAGTCATTACTACTCTTTGTCTTTATCCAGCAGAAAGCAGGACCTAGAGGGAATGGAAGAATGATGGATAAACAGTGACAGGTGGATAAAAAAGGTCAGAGAATAAGATTGTGTGAGAAAACTCAGGGCACCTAAAAAACATTCTGAGGATGCTGAGCAAATGAAACAATGATGGGAGCACCCCAAAGCGTTTTATGACTGGGTAGGAAAAGGACAAAGCAGAAAGTAATGGAGAACATGCAGGAATGGTAATTTGTTCACCTCAAAATCTTAACCAAGCTCTTCATGTAGAAAATACTTTAGCTAATAAGATGAACGTTTGAAGAAAAGGATCTTCCATTACTTGCTGTAAAGTAGTAAAACCCTCATTGTTTTAAAGGAAATTACTCATGTACTTTTTTCTTTTTTTAAGATAATTTTTAAAAAATAATTTCAACTTTTATTTTAGATTCAGAGGTACTTGTTCAGGCTTGTTACCTGGGGATATTACATGCTGCTGAGGTTTGGGGAATGATTGATCCTGTCTCCCAGGTACTAAGCATAGTACTCAATAGTTGGTTTTTCAGCACTTGCATCCCTCTCTTCCTCCTCCCTCTAGTAGTCCCCATTGTCTATTATTGCCATTTATGTTCCTGAGTACCCAATGTTTTGTTCCCACTTATGAGTGAAAACCTGCAGTATTTGGTTCCCTGTTCCTGCATGAATTTGATTGGGATAATGGCCTTCAGCTACATTCACGTTGCTGCAAAGACCATGACTTCATTTCTTTTTGTGGCAGAATAGTATTCCATGGTGTATGCATATGACATTTTTTATACAATCCACTGTTAATGGGACCTGGGTTGATTCCATGTCTTTGCTATTGTAAATAGTGCTGCAATGCACATATAAGTTCATGTGTCTTTTTGGTAGAACAATTTATTTTCCTTTGGGTATATACCCCACAATGGGATTGCTGGGTCAGATGATTGTTCTGTTTTAAGTTCTCAGAGAAATCTGAAAACTGCTTTCCACAGTAGCTGAACTAATTTACCTAATTTACATTCCCACCACAGTGTACAAGCATTCTCTTTTCTCCATAGACTCACCAACATCTGTTGTTTTTTGACTTTTTAATAATAGCTATTCTGACTGGCGTCAGATGGTATCTCATTGTGATTTTGATTTGCAGCTCTCTGTTCATAAGTGATGTGGAGAATTTTTCACTTTTTTGACCACTTGTGTGTCGTGTCTTCTTTTGAAAAGTATCTGTTCAACTGTCTTTTGCCCATTTCTTAAAGGACTTATTTGCTTTTTGCTTGTTGAATTAAGATCCTTATAGATTCTCGATGTTAGACCCTTGTCACATGCATACTTTGTGAGTATTTTTTTTCCATTCTGTAGGTTGTCTGTTTACACTGTTGGTAGTTTCTACTGCTATGCAGAAGCTCTTTAATTTAATTAGAACTCACTTGTCAGTTTTTGGGTTTTTTTTGTTGCAATTGTTTTTGAGGACTTTGTCATAAATTCTTTCCCAAGTTTGATGTCCAGAATTAACTCAATATGGGTTAAACATTTAAATATAAGAGCTCAAACTATAAGACTTCTAGAAGAATTTAGGTCTTACATGTAAGTGTTTAACCCATCTTGAGTCGATTTTTGTATATGGTGAAATGTAGTGGTCCAGTTTCATTCTTCTGCATATGGCTAACCAGCCATCCCAGCACTATTTATTGAATAGGGAGTCCTTTTCTCATTGCTTATTTTTGTCAACTTTGTTGTAAATCAGATGGCTGCAGGTGTGCAGCTTTATTTCTGGGTTCTCTATTTTGTTCCATTGGTGTATGTGTCTGTTTTTGTACAAGTGCCATGCTGTTTTGGTTACTGTAGCCTTATAGTAGTACAGTGTGAAGTCAGGTAATGTGATGCCTCTGGCTTTGTTTTTTCCTTAGGATTGCTTCGAGTATTCAGGCTCTTCTTTGGTTTCATATGACTTTTTGAATATTTTTTCTAGTTATTTGAAAAACTATTTGGTACCTTGATAGGAATATCATTGAATTCGTAGATTGCCTTAAGCAGTATGGCCATTATAGTGATATTGACTGCCAATTCATGAGCAAGGAATGTTTTTTCCATTTGTTTGTGTCAGCTATGATTTCTTTCAGCAGTGGTTTGTGGTTTTCCTTGTAGAGATCTTTCACCTCCTTGGTTAGATGTATTCCTAGGTATTTTATTTTGCAGCTATTGTAAATGGGATTGCATTCTTGATTTGGTTCTTAACATGGCAATACAAGTTATTGGTGTATAGAAATGCTATTGATTTTGGTACATTGATTTTGTATCTAGAAACTTTACTGAAGTTGTTTATCAGTTCCCAGAGACTTTTGGCAGAGTCTTTAGGGTTTCCTAACTCTAAAATTATATCATCAACAAAGAGAGAGTTGACTTCTTCTTTTTCTATTTGGATGCCTTTTATTTTTTTCTTCTCCCTGATTTATCCAGCAAGTACTTCCAGCACTATGTTGTATAGGAGTGGTGAGAGTGGGCATCCTTATCTTGTTCCATTTCTCAAGAAGGATGCTTCTACATTCTGCACATTCAGTATGATGTTAGCTGCAAGTTTATCATGTGTTGCTGTTATTATTTTGAGGTATGTTCCTATGATGTCTAGTTTCTTCAGAGCTTTGATCATAAAGGGATGTTAGATTTTATCAAGAGCTTTCCCATGTCTATTGAGATGATTATATGGTTCTTGTTTTTAATTATGTTTATGTGATGAATCTCATGTATTGATTTGCGTATGGTAAGCCAACCTTGCATCCCAGGAATGAAGCCTACTTGATCATGATGAATTAACTTTTTGATGTGCTTCTAATTCAGTTTGCTAGTAATTTGAGAATTTTTGTGTGTGTGTCCATGTTCATCAGGGATAGTGGCCTGCTGTGTGGTGTCTTTGCCAGCTTTGGTGTCAGGGTGATGCTGGCTTTGTAGAATGATTTATGGAGGAGTCCTTCCTCCTTGATTTTTTGCAATAATTTTAGTAGAATTGTTGCCAGCTCTTCTTTGAACATTGGTAGAATTCAGTGGTGAATCCATCTGGTCTGCAGCTTTTTCATCACGTTAGTTAAGTTTATTATTACTGATTTAATTTCAGAACTCAATATTGATCTGCTCAGGGTTTCAATTTCTTCCCAATTCAATCTAGGGACATTGTATGCTTCTAGGAATTTATCTATTTCCTCTAGATTTTCTAGTTTGTCTGCATATAGGTATTCATAATAGTCTTTCAGGATTTTCTGTATTTCTGTGGAATTGGTTGTATAGTCACTTTCGTCATTTCTGATTGTGCTTATTTAGATATTCTCTCTTTCTTTCTAACTTAGCTAGCAATCTGTCGATCTTGTTTATCCTGTCAAAGAACCATTTTTGGTTTTGTTGATTTGTTGTATAGATTTTTGGGTCTCAGTTTTGTTCAGTCCTGCTCTGATTTTCGTTATTTCTTTTCTTCTAGGTTTGGGGTTAGTTTTTTCTTGTTTTTCTAGTTCTTCTGGCTGTGATGTTAGATTACTCATTTGAAATCTTTTTAACTTCTTGAGATAAGTGTTTGGTGCTGTAAACTTTGCTCTTTGCTCTTAATACTGCTTTTGCTGTATCCCAGATATTTTGGTATGTTGTGTCTGTTTTTCTTTATTTCAAAGATTTTTTTTTTTATTTTTATTTTTTTAGACAGAGTCTTGCTCTGCCACCTAGGCTAGAGTGCAGTGGCGCCGTCTCGGCTCACTGCAAGCTCTGCCTCCCGGGTTCACACCATTCTCCTGCCTCAGCCTCCCAAGTAGCAGGGACTACAGGTGCCTGCCACCATGCCTGGCTAATGTTTGTAGAGACGGGGTTTTACCCTGTCAGCCAGGATGGTCTTGATCTCTTGACCTCGTGATCCACCCGCCTTGGCCTCCCAAAGTGCTGGGATTACAGGTGTGAGCCACCACGCCCAGCCTATTTCAAAGACTTTTTGCTTATTTCTGCCTTAAGTTTGTTGTTTACCCAAAAGTCATTCAGGACCAAGTTGTTTAATTTCCATATAATAGTGTGTTTTTGAAATAACTTCTTGGTATTGGTTTTCATTTTTATTCTACCATGGTCTGACAGTATGATTGATATGATTTCAATTTATTTATTTATTTATTGAGACTCACCTTGTGGCCAAGCATGTGGCCAATCTTGGAATATGGTCCATGTGCAGATGAGGAAAATGTATATTCTCTGGCTCATGGGTGGAGTATTCCATAGATATCTATTAGCTCCAATTGGTCAAGTGTCAGAGTTTAGTCCAGAATTTCTTTGTTAGTTTTCCTTCTCAAGGATCTGTCTAATGCTGTCAGTAGGATGTTGAAGTCCCCTGCTGTTATTTTATGGCTGTCTTTTCACAGGTCTAGAAGTACTTGTTTTATGAATCTGGGTGCTCCAATGTGGTATGCATATATACTTGGAATATATGCATCTTTTGTTGAACTGAACCCTTTATCATGATGTAATGCCCTTATTTGTCCTTTTTTACTTTGGTTGGTTTAAAGTCTTTTTTATCTGATATAATAATAGTGACCCCTGCTTCTTCTTTGTGTTCAGTTTTGCATGATAGATCTTTCTCCAACCCTTTACTTTGAGGTTATGAATGACATTACATTACAGGTGTGATGGGTCTCTTGAAGACAGTAGACAAATGGTTCTTGGTTTTTTTGTTTGTTTGTTTTATTTTTTAATCCAACTTGCCACTCTGTGCCTTTTATGAGGGACAATTAGACTATTTACATTCAAAGTTAATATTGACATGTGAGGTCTCAACCTATCATGAACTTGTTAGCTGTTTGCTTTGTGGTTTCTATTGCTTTATAGGGCCTATGAGTTATGTATTTAAATGTATTTTTGTGGTAGCAGGTATCATTCTTTCATTTCCATGTTTAGAACTCCCTTAAGGATTTCTCATAAGTTTGGTCTGACAGTAATAAATTCCCTTAGCACTTGTTTGCCTCAAAAAAATTTGTTTCTCCCTTACTTATGAAGCTTAGTTTGGCAGGATATGAAATTATTAGTTGGAATTTCTTTTATTTAAGAATACTGAAAATAGTCCCTCAGTCTCTATTGGTTTATAAGGTTTCATCTGACAAGTCTAGAGCCTAATGAGATTTCCTTTGTAAGTGATCTGACCTTTTCTCTAAGTGCCTTTGAGATTTTTTCTTTATTGTTGATCTTAGATAGCCTGGTGACTATATCCTTTGTTGATGTCTGTTTTATATAGTATCTCACGGGTGTTCTCTGGATTTGTCGTAACTGGATGTCTACCTCTTAAGCAAGATTAAGGAAATCTTCTTGAATTGTTATGTCAAGTATGTATTCCAGGTTGTTTTCTTTTTCTCTGTCTCTCTCAAGAATGCCAGTAATTTGTATGTTTGGTCACTTTACATAATCCAATATTTCTCAAAGAAATTCATTTTTTAAATGTTTTTTTAAATGAATTCCTCAAAGAATTTCATTTTTAAAAAAATTATTTTCTCTATTTTTATCTGACTGGTTTAGTTTGAAAGACTGGTCTTCAAGCTCTGAAATTATTTCTTCTGCTTGGCCCAGTCTATTGATAAAGCTTTCAATTGCATTTTGAAAATTTTTAAGTGAGTTTTTGTATTCTAAAAGCTCTGACTGATTTCTTTTTAAGGTGTGTATCCCTTCTCCATTTCGTAGATTGCTTGAAAAGTTTCTTTATGTAGATTTTCAACCTTGTCTTGGATCTCATTGAGCTTCCTTACAATCCTTGCTTTGAAATTTTAATCTGTCATTTGAATTTTCATTTTGGTTAGGGACCATTGCTGGAGAGCTCATGTGATCCTTTGCTGGCATCACTACATTCAGATTTTTCATGGTGCCAGAATTCTTGAACTTGTTTCTTCTCATCTAGAGATGCTGACACTTAGCTTTTGTAATTTTCTCATGTGGTAGCACTTTTTTTTCTAGATAATATTATTGCTTGTTTCTTCTTTCCCTTTCATTCCTTCCCTGGGGTGTGTGGCTGTAGAGAATGCTGGGTAAGGTTTTTTGGCTTGGCTTCTGTAGCCCTATGTACTTCTGTCAGCAGGTTTTATATTGGACTGTGCAGTTTGACTTACAAGCCAGTAGGTGACACTTATGGGTAAGAGCTGTCTGTGGCCTGTAATGACTAGGCATGTACTTGATCCTTGTTTACTTGGAGAACCTCTCTGTTGCCTAGGGCAATGGGCTGATTCATGAAGTGCACTGTGGTCTGAGCTCTCTCCTCAGCTTCTGGGTGCAGGAGCCAGATGGGCAGGGCCAGACTGGGCATGTCCACCTGCAGGTCCCCCAGTGGCAGGCAAAAGCACCAATACTGAGGGACTATCCAGTGGATGGCTATTAAGCATCCAGAGGTGTGGCAAGGCATGGAGCTGGGAAACCTCCTTGGCCCTGAGTTTTCTGTATGAGAATGGGAGCAACCTAAACTCCTAATTCAGAAAGCAGCTGCTTCAGGTGCCTGGAGATCTGCCTGGGTGTGGCGTAGAGCAGTCCCTTCTACATTAGGATCCCTGCACATGAATGGTGGGGTGGCTCAGACTATCAGTTTGGGCAAACAGGTGCTTTGAATGGTTGGAGATCTGCCTGGGCATGGAGCAGAAAGGGCCTTCTTGCACCACAATCTATGCAAAGGAAGTGTGGGGCAGTTTAGGCTGCTGATGCAGGTGAATGGGCAATCAAAATGCCTAGAGAATCTGTCTAGGTGTGGAGTGAAGACGTCTTCACTGTACAACAATCTGTGTCTAGGAAGGGTGGGGCAGCTCAGGCTGCTTAACCAGTTGAGTTAGTGCTCTGAATGCCTGGAGATCTGCCTAGGAATGGAGTAGAGAGAGCCCTGCTCCATCATTATCTCAGGAGAGCAGGCTGGGGCAGGCAACAATGACATACACAGACCAGTTCCAGGTTGCCAAGCTGGCCGTAGCTGCAAGTCTTAGTCCAGGAGAAACTGCAGTTGTAGCAGCTCTCCTTCTGCCTCAGGCCTGCAATGGGGAGAGCATAATTGTAACACCTACTGCTGAGCTGCTTTCCACAGTTCTGGCTGTGGAGGCCCCTACCCGACTCCAGAGTACGTACTCCATTTCTGGCCAAAGACTAAAATGCCTGCATGACCAGCCTGCTGGATCACCACAGAATGGCTGATTTTGTATGCCCCGGGATTAAAAATGGCGTCCTGCTCTTGCTCCTGGTTCTGGGAAAATCCCAGCAGCTTTTCCTGGTGTCTTTCCCTCACAGAGTACCCAAGCCTCTCTGCAAGTCAACTCCAGAGCTTGGGAGAAAAGAAAACGTACTCCCTCAGCCTACTGGGTTGCTCAGATCCCCAGGAGAAAAGTGAGTCACAGAGGGCTCTCTGTCTGTCTCACATACTGGGGCTTCACTCACTTTTATCAACTGGACGCCATCACAGGGGCTGTTTGCCTGCATCCTCCTCCTGAGATGTGGGGTGTCCTTTATGATTCTGGTGAATTCCAATTTTCCTTATTGAAATACAGCTCATAGAGTTTCTCTTTATGCACTATCTTTCTATTTCTAAGGGCTGAAGCATGCCTCTAATCACTATCTTGAAAAAAAAAATGTGTTAATGTTTTAATCATGATCTATGTCCATCACATTTACTTTTCCTCATAATATTCTTATTTTTTTAAAAAAATACATTATTCCAGTCAGACAGGTTGAATTCATAACTCATTTTTTTGTTTAAATTTCATTTTTAAAACCTATAAATGCACGATATATGCATTATAAAAACATCTGAGACGGTAAGACATATAGAATTGGAAATACTTATAATTATATTACCTAGAAGCTAAATTATCTTTGAATTTTTTGGAGGCTTTTATACATTAATATCATTTTTAAATGGTTTTTGCTTCTTGCATATACATTATCAAATAAACATAAATGTAAACAACATTCAGTTTCTTCTTTCCACCTTTTGCCTAGAATGTTGTCTTCTTAAGCTTTGCTTCGTCAATGATTACTATCTGCAAAAACATTTTAAACTATTTGGAAACTGCTTTTATGTAGCCATAAATATATTCTCCTTTCTTTGAAAGTTCATAGTACTATATTTGTACTTCTATTTTACTTACCTTATTTCATTTTTTTACTATAATCATTTAGTCAACTAGATTTTTTATAATCAACTAGGTTAATAATTTCTTGTGTTTGGGGATAATCTTAGTTAGCATTGTTTCCAATAACACCTAAAGAAGATACTCAATAAACAAGTAAATTGTATGACATTCAGTAGTTCCAATGAGAGGACCTTTATGACAGTTGTTCATCGCAAAAATTGGCTCACCAGATTTCCCAACCTCAGGACTTTTGACTTGGAAATATGGCCAAAAAAATCATTTATTTGGCAACAAAGACTGAAAATGGAAGGATGCACAGGCACACAGATGCACCCATGAGACAGGAGAGGATCTTATGACACACGTATAAAACTGGGTTATGAGTGATGCAAAAATCATAAGTAAACATAAACTATGGCATAGAGAAAAATTGCAGAGTAGAGTATGAAGAAACCAGTTAGTAATGGAAAGATAATCGTAGAGTTACATAAACAAAATCTCACAAATCACCACTAAAGAACTTACTCATGTAATCAAACACCACTTGTTCCCCAGAAACCTATGGAAGTAAAAAAATGAAATAAAATAAAAATAAAACAACAACAAGAAAAAAAAAAAAACAGAAGGCTAGTTAAGGTATCCTAAACTAAGATGCTACTTCTGAGGAACCTAGAGCTGCATTGGATTCTGAATCACTGACTTCTGAGTTGTCATTCAGTGATGGTCTTAATTTTTGATTATTTGTTCTGTTCTTCCCACTTGGCCTGAGACTCTAATCTTTGCTGAGAATTATTTTTTCCCTTATTTTTTTTCATCACTGCCATTATTTCTGCATTACTTGAGGCAAATTGAGTGAGTCCCGTTCCCTTAAAATTGAAAACACCTATCATAGAAGTAAATTGGATATAACGATTGGTAAGCTGGTAAATGTTAACAATAGACTCTCAAAAGGAAAAAGGCCCTAATTTGTAGCATTTGTCAATTTCCATGGTGTAAATATTCCTACCATGGCTGGTTTCAGGCTATCATCATAACATTGCTGAACAATAAAAAACTGGGGAGAGATATATGCACAGTTGATTCTTGTGAGCCTTTATGAGCAGACTCCAGTATACCACTGGATGAAATATTAAAACCAAGCATGTCAATCTTGTTTTTTTAACCTTTCCTCATAAAATTGAATAACTACTTTCTGAGTTATTACTTTTAAAATATGGCACTACTGTCACATGGATGTTACCCCTTACACACATTCTGCTGTTCTATGCCAACGAAGCAATTTATAGGACAGTTTAATTCCCTTTTATATTTTGGAGGATATACATTATTTAATTTTTACATTTTTTTCTAATATATGCACTCTACTTTTCACCATAGTTTTGGTTAAATTTGAAATTTCTTAGTGTATTTTGAATTGTCATATTATAAAAGCTGCTTTACTTCCTTTCAAATTGGAAGCCTTCAAATGAAATGGTAAAATCTATAAGTACTTCAATGACTTAAAATTGCCCTGCACTATACAAAGTGATTTGAAATTTTTGTGGTACTTTCCCTTTTGTTATAAGTGCCTCTTTTTATAAGTAGTGAAGACTGTAAACTTCCAAAGTAGAAATAATTTAAAATTATTGGAGTGCTTCAGGTTTTTAGGAGAACTTCATTCTTTCAAATTGGAATTCCAATTTCTGAAGTGCTCCAGTAACTTTAAATTGCTAAATGCTCTAGACTGAAGATTCTGGTACAGAGGTCCTTACCAAAGTACTTATAAAGCATTAAAAATCCTTGAACTAATTCTCAGAACACATGGCCAGATTATTGATTTCATTTTTTTTGAATCTTCAGTGAAGAACAAACTTAAATGATATATGTAAAAAATAAAAGTAAATCCATATGTTAACCTTAAATTACAAATTACATCTTTAAATTTTAACTTCTCTCAGATATGTAAGTTGATATCAGACTTTCTAAAACACTACAGGCTTGAAAAGATATGAATGTAAATTAATTTCATTGACATGAACAAACTCATTTTTATGGAAGAAAACACTCCAGTATCATGCTCTGTGTTTCCGGGACATGGACAATGCAAATAAATTAGTGTGTCCTTAATCTTCCTTGCATTATAATTATTATTATGGAAAGTTAACTAATACAGTAGTTTTATTCAAGCTGAAATAAAATAAAGTTCACAAAAACTCAAGTGTGATAACTTAAAACATGTTAGGATATGTAAACAAATGAGAGGGTAAAAAATTTTTAACTTTTATAACTCAAATAACAAGGCTGGTGGCCATGACATTTTATGTTTGTCTATCCAAAAAAGAAATGGATACATCAATTTTATGGCACCTTCATCTCGTCATAGCTGTAGCAAGTCATAATTGAAATCACTGACTCTTTATAGGCCCATCCATTACAATAAACAACAAAAAGTGTCCCCATCAGCTGGCTTCTAATGTCATTCCCATCATTTGGTACACAGGTGCCACAGAAATCAGACAAATGGGTGTGATAGTTAGCCTTTTCTCATATGACTTGAGAAAACATGCAAGTGCAGTTTTTCTTCCCTCCAACGCTAATAAAAGTCAAACCACCAACATAATGGCTGCCAACAACAAAGAAATAAGAAACAAAAAATAACTTAAAAGAAAAAGACCTAGGCAGAATATATCACTAATATGTACATGTACCTTGGTTGTACATGAAGTTTTATAATTTTCTGTGACATAAAATTTATCATCCTAAAACATGTATAAAATCCAAAAGCAGAATTATTTTTATTTTTACAATTATAAACTAGCTTAGCATTATTGCCCTACTGGAGAAATTGGACTTTTTAGAGATATTTTATTTTATTAGTGTTTTCAAAAGAGCAGGTGGCACATGGATCTCTGGAAAAAATAAAAGATACTTTCATATGAGCCCAAAAGAAAACCTCCTAAGGGAAAGGAAAATAAGGTAAATAAAAATGCTCTGAAAAAATATCCTTGGGGCAGAACAGTATCCTTTATGGGGCAGATTTGTTAGTGGAAAATAATGTGCCACAAAACTTACTTGCCGATTACTTGAGCATTCATTTTTTAAATGTCTGATTTGAAGATTTGAATCATTTTCTTCAAATGCAATAGAGTGAAGGGAAATTCTCTCTATGACAGTGATTGCTTTAAATTAAGCACAAGAGGCCATCCGTGCATTAGACACACATAGAATTAGACTTATCAAAGAGTTCACATCCTTAATTCATTATATTTTAATATTACATAAATTCTTCTATAATTTCTAAACTAGGATTAGCCTTCAAATTGCCTCTCTACAAGAAAATATCTTACGTTTTGTAGGAACAAGGGAAATAAGTATAACTTCAGGTGTTTTGAGTTTAATGAAAATTCAAAAACCTATACTAGTACTGTACCTATATCCTGCCTCCATCTAACTCTCATATTGAAAAAAATGCAGGTGACCTAGCTGAAACAGAGAAGAGTACAGCATAAAAACTCTCCTTGTAAATTTACAAAGTCTTATTTACTGATCTATTGATTAACAATTTTGGCCTTCACTTCTTTGGCCATTAGGCTGCTAAGAGAGTATATAAACCCTCCCACATCTTTCATGAAAGAAAAATGACTGTGTAACTGAAACACCAGATTAGAGCAGAGCCAGGAACATTTTCAGCACAGAACAGAACATGGCGTATTGGTACAAGTATCAGAGTACTCTTTCTTAGAATTTCTGTTTTCATTTTATCTACCACTATTCGTACTGTATGCCCTCTGAAGAATGAAATGAACTTTTTAAAGGACTACGTTCATTCTTATCACTTCTTTTTTAAGGAATACACATTGATCTTATTTCACCAGGCTCTATTTAGGTCTTGATTCATGTAATTGAAGAAAATAAAATATGTGTATGCACCTTATCTTTCAAAGGCAGGACATACTTATCATTGACTTTTAAGTTGCAAAGTATACATGATGACTTCTGTATGTTATGAGAAGCAATTAACATATTGTGAATTCCCAAACATTAAATGACAGCTTCGCATAAGAATCTGGTATCTAATTCATTTTGAATTTGTATTTCCAATAAAAAAATCTGTGTATTAAGTCTTTTTTTAGTAGTATGTATAAGTCAAGATACCCCAAATGGATCAAAGTGATCAATCTGAGTAAAAGAAAGAAAATCAGAGCTTTAGATTTGAAAACACACAGAGCATGCATGTGTGTGCATTTGTGGGAGCAGTGCTGGTAACCAATTAGCTTTGCTGGAGGTTTGTTCTGACATGGAGAATTGAGTAAAGCCTGCTCAGAGGGGTAAAAGAAACTGGGTATTCTCCTTTGGGCATTCAAGTAACTTTTCAAATATGCCACCAAATGAAATAGCAAAAAAAAAAAAAAAAAAAATTGTCAATTGGCCTGCAACCCTTTACTGAATGAATTAAACTTTCTATGTTATCTTTGTCCTTGGCCACAAATAAGCTAAAAGGCATGGTGCTCCTTATTTTAAGAGTAATAGATCTAAATGCATTTTATTTGTATTTTTCATAGAAGCAACATTAGAAGGCAGCATTGACTTTTTTCCCACTCAGAAATATATAATTCATTGCAAAGATGGAACATATGCTTATTTCTGTAAAGCCTTCCCTCCCCACCCAGCATCATTTATTCTCTACCAAGTATAGAACGAGAATACAAGTAATGCAGAAGCAGCAAATCTGTCTTCTGATTATTAACCCCCCAAGTACCTGAAAAAAGAAAAAAAAAAGAAGAAGAAAATAAGAGAAGCCTGGCACATAATAAAATCTCAGTCACTATTTTTTAGTACACGTTTGAATAAACCTGTGTTAAACAGAATAAACTAAAATCTCCAAGTTATTGTATTAACTTTGAACCAAAAATCTGCTTCCTCAAATCTGTCTTTCAGATATATACCAACACCAACCTGAATTTCAGTCTGTAAGAGTATGTAAAACCAGAGGTCAATGCTCAATGTGTGTCTGAATTTGTGTGTATATGTGTGTGTGTGCGCATACATTTTTTTAAATACAGAAGTACTATTACCAGTGCTTGGGCCTGGTAATAGTATATTACCTCTATACAGAGGTAAAATCCTCTGTATAGTCATAGCAAGGTTTTTTTTTTGTTTTTTGTTTTTTTTTTTTGACAACGCATGCAGCTGAATTGTTTCTTCAATGTATAGGTTCAGCTATTACACAACAATAATTGGAATGGTAAACATAACATTTGAAATGTGACAGTTTTCTTTCTGATTTCCCCTCTTTTTTTCTGAAATTATAAGAAACTCAAAAACAATGCTCACTTTATTATACTATTTATATTGCTTCATGTTTACAATATGTGTATGTTTGTGTCCATGGGAGAGAATGAAAGAGTAAGACCAAGAGAATGAAATTATTTTTGCCTTTAAAAACGTTTTTAACGAATTAATTTGAATAATAATTTTAAAATGTGAAAAATAACATATTTCCCTATAATATTGGATCTAAAGTCTTCCGGGCCAGACATAAGAATTTTGCCAGATATGAGGTTTAGGATGATAACAACTGCTATTGTTCGTATAAGACTTTCTGGTGATGCACTAAAATTACAATAGAACATCTGTAAAATGATGGTATCTGGCAGTACTACTAGACAATAATCTGTATTACAGGTCTCTGCTAAATGATGTTTTCATCTTCAAAGTGAAATTATGTGACTTCTGTGATATTTAAATTCAGGCAGAAATGTACCATCAATAATAATTTCATGGAGCAGTATTCATATTGTGGCTTATCATCCCCTTTGAAGTTGTTACGCAGTAGGTTTTGTTTCTTGGAGTTTAGGCAGCTTAAAAGCAGAATGGAAATCAATTACTTCTGTTTCAACACAAATCAGAGGATGTTTTCTAGGTAGATGCTCTGCATGTAGGGACTTTCAAGAACTCACCCATCTATGAAGCCTTCCCAACTTTTGACAGAGCTGGCTCTTGAAAGGAGATTGGAGGCACAGTGGATGTGAAAGGGAAAAGCAGCTAGAGATGCCATGAGAGCCAGGCATTGTCTGGTCACCAAGTCCTGCTTGTCCAGATAGTTCTAAAATCAGCAAAGATGGAGAACCTGGAGGCTGTCAAGTCCCTTTAATTTGGGGTCATTCTGAAAGTAAATCATTCTGTGACTTGTCCAAGTGATGACTAAACAGTTGATAAAATATTGATACTAGTTCTTTGCAGAAATCATGTTAAGATTTCTTTTGTAAAAGACATCTTAAACTTTTCTTAAATTTCTATTCTCAGATAACTGTTAGGTGATTAATATTGCCTTGTTTTAGATATTATTGGAGAATGGAATGAGGCCCAGATTCATAAAATTAATCATTCCAATAAAACTAAAAGGTTAATTTTTGTTTGTTTTTTGCTTTTACCCTGATAGGGAAAAGGACTATTCTCCATAAAATGCCTTTTTTTTCTGGGAGTTATTATCCAAGATATTTTCACTATGTCTCCATCCTGGAATTTCTTTTTTTTCTTTTTTGAAATGGAGTTTCACTCTTTGTTGCCCAGGCTGGAGTGCAATGGTGCTATCTCGGCTCACTGCAACCTCCACCTCCTGGGTTCAAGCGATTCTCTTGCCTCAGCCTCCCAAGTAACTAGGATTACAGGCACCCTCCACCACGCCCAGCTAATTTTTGTATTTTTAGTAGAGACAGGGTTTCACCATGTTGGTCAGGCTGGTCGTGAACTCCTGACCTCTGGTGATCCACCCACGTCTGTCTTCCAAAGTGCTGGTATTAAAGGCGTGAGCCACTGCGCCCGGCCCTGGAATCTTTTTTTACTAGCTTTATGTTTCATGACTTCTCACAACAGATTTTTTTTTGGTATCACTGCATGCTCAAAGCCTTCATATCAAAGATGAAAAACATTGAACTCATTTAAAAATATCTATGTGTCTGGGCTTAATATTTTTTTTAAATTCGTTAAATTATAACAGACACATTTGTTTGGAATGTGCACTCTGGAGAAATCCTTTGTCTCCATATATCTTTTTTTAATTTAATGTCTTCACATATATCTCTTTGGATGGCACAAATACTGAAATTTAATTATAAATGCCTTTTTATATGTATCTGCAGTAAAATAAAGTATCTGCGTAAAATAAAATAAAAATAATATCACAAATGCTCTTTGGTATTTTACAGTGTAAGAAAGATTTTTAAACTTAATTAAACAGGAAGTATTTCTATGTTCTTTCTCCACACAATCACTCTGTGAAATGATAACCAATGAATTTAACATCATTTCTTCTGGAACACTATGTGTACTTTCCAAACACTTAGAAATGAAAACGAAACTGAAGTTCCACAATCTGGGAATAACATATGAATGTCAGAAACTCTTAAATTAAGTTAGTTAATAACAGCATATTTTCTGTGGTGCAGTCACAATAGGAACTTGAATGTTCATCAGTATTTTTTCCAGTATTTCTAGGTCAATTCCTTTGGGAACTATTCACCTAAGGCTCATTATCAGTTCAACTATATTTTGATGTTTGCATTTATACCAGCACTTTCAATGCTGAAAATTTCTACTTTTGTCCACATTGATGCTGTTTCATATTAAAGATTTTGAATCAGTGATGAAAGATTTCTAGATTTACTATTGACCCGGCATGAGAAGATGGGTAAACATTTTTTATTATTGTTTGTTAAAAATGTTTTGAAATTATTAATGTGACTATGATTGGAGTCATACACATTAACATTCACTTTTATTTCTGTGGAAACGAATTCCGTCTGGTAAAAATGCCATCTAGTTCAATATGATTCTCCTTAGGGAGTCTCTCAGAATTATAAATAGGCACATCTATTATAATGTAAGCCAATTTCTGCTAAAATGAGTCAGCAGTTGACCTTAGATTGCTCATCAATAAAATTTTGTCTCTTTGCTTTGTGAGGTACACAGAGAACATTGAATTTTATTTACTAATGTCATCTAACCTTGTTTAAGAATAGAAAGGTCCTTTGCAGAATGTAACCGTAGTAATGTTGTATACCATTATGCCCAGCATAACGTTGTGGTCAATGATGGACTACATATACAATGGTGGCCTAGTAATATTATAATAGAGCTAAAAAATCCGAATCTCTTAGTTACACTGTAGCCATCATAACATCCTAGTGCAAGGCAGTATGTGTTTATAGGGATGCTGGTGGAAACAAACATACGGTATTGCCTTTCATATAAAGTAGAGCACATACAATTATGTACGGTACATAATATTTCATAATGATAATAAATGGCTATGCTACTGGCTTATGTATTTACTATATTGTACTGTTTATCATTATTTCAGAGTGTACTTTTACTATTTAAAAAAAAGTTAACTATAAAGTAGCCTCGGGAAGTCATTTGTGGAGATACCCAGAAGAGGATATTGTATAGGAGATGCCAGCTGTAAGCGTGTTATTGTCCTTAAAGACCTTCTAGTGAGACAAGCTGTGGAGGTGGAAGGCAGTAATACTGACGATCCCGACCCTGGGTAGGCTTAGGGTAATGTTTGTGTTTTTATCTTAGTTTTTAACAACAACAACAAAAATTTAAAAATAAATAAATAAATATAGAAAAGCTTATAGAATAGAGATATAAAGAAAGAAAATATTTCTGGGCAGCTATGTGTCTGTGTTTTAAGTTATGTCTCAATACGAGTCAAAAAGTTAAAAAATATTAAAAAGTTTGTAAAGTAAAAAAGTTACAGTATGTGTGTATAACTATGTAACAAAGTAAGGTTAATTTATTATTGAAGAAAGAAAATTATTTTTCATAAATTTAGCGTAACTTAAGTGTACAGTGTTTATATAAAATCTACAGTAGTATAGAATGGTGTTCTAGGCCTTCACATTCAATCACCACTAATTCACTGACTCACCCAAAAGAGCAACTTCCAGTCCTGCAAGCTCCCTTCATGGTGATTGCTCAATATATGTGTACTGTTTTTATCTTTTGTACCATATTTTTATTATTTTTTCTATGTTTAGATACACAAATACTTATAATTATGTTACAATTGCCTACATCAGTCAGTACAGTAACATGTTGCACAAGTCTATAGCCTGAGGAATAAGCTGTACCATATAGGTGTGTAGTAGGCTATGTACCCCAGGTTTGTATTAGTACACTCTATGAGGTTTGTGCTACAAAATTGCCTAATGATATAATTCTCAGAACATATCTTTATCATTACATTAAGTGACACATGACTGTATTTGTATGGTGTTGTTGAGTTTACAAAATGCTTTCATATACTAAATCCTATCTGATCTTCTCAAGTGTTACTGCCTATTGGCAGCCTCCAAATATTATGATTCTCATTTGAAATTACACATGTAGTTATAATAAATCTAAGACTAGAACTCATCACTTTGTACTCCTAGTTCAATGGTTTTTTTTTCCATAACAGCTTGCTGCTTCTACTTGTAATCAATATCAGCAACTTCAGATGAAAATAATGTGAGCCTTTTTCAATACAAAAGGATTTATTTCTAGTTGAAATTATATATTTTCATGGATTTTAGATAAAATATTTATTTTGGCAAACACACCAATACAGTAGTTTCATTGGTTCTTTAATTAGTGTTAATATTAAGAAAATAAAATTATTCACTTCTGATATAGTGAAGTCAAGAAGTGATTCAAATATATTACTTTTACATGATTCACAATTATAATTGTATTATTTATACCTATGGTTGCATAATAAATATGGCTTAAGTTATCTGAAATAATTATTTTGTGCTTATTATGGAATATAAATCTAATGGACAAAGCTTTGGGGATTACAAAGTTCAGAAAGAGAACTGCATTTGAAATACATCTTAATCCACTCAACAGATATTTGTTGAGTGCGTGCTATATGCCTGTCAGTTTTCTATGTGCTGAAAATACAGCTGTAAATAAGCAAGACAGAGCCTTGTCTGAGACAAAGAAATTTAGATTAAGTAGAGGGAGTGGGGGAGACCATAAAACAAGTAAAAAGTAATCACAATATATCAAGATGATTAGATAGTACAAGATTTGAGGGTTGGAAAGCAGGGTGCAAGCACTTCTGAAACAACCGTTAAGTGACTGTTTATGTAATTCTAGAGTAGGCAATTAAAAACTAGACTGAGGGGAGTGAAGGAAGGACAACTTGGAAGGCAAGGTCCTGGTGATCTAATAATTGTTACCCTTAATCTTTATCTGTGTGAATATCTGTGTATTAGTCAGGTTTCTCTAGAGGGATGGAACTAATAGGATGGAAGTATATATAAAAAGGAGTTGATTAAGGAGTATTGGCTCATACAGTCACAAGGTGAGGTCCCTCAATAGGCTGTCTGCAAGCTGAGGAGCAAGGAAGCCAGTTGGAGATCCGAAACCTCAAAGGTAAGAAAGCCAACAGTGCAGCCTTCAGTCTGCGGTCAAAGGTCCAAGAGTCCCAAAGCTGAAGAACTTGGAGTCCGATGTTAGAGGGCAGGAAGTGGATGCACGGGAGAAAGATGCAGGCTGGGAGACTAAACCAGTCTAGTCTTTCCCCATTCTTCTGCCTGCTTTTATTCTGGCCACACTGGCAGCTGATTAGATGTTGTCCAGCCAGATTGAGGGTGGGTCTGCCTCTCCCAGTCCACTGGCTCAAATGTTAATCTCCTTTGGTAACACCCTCACAGACACACCCAGGAACAATATTTTGCATCCTTCAATCCAATCAAGTTGACACACAATATTAACCATCACATTTTGTATATGAGCTTTTTTCTTATCTATAGTAATATAAAATGGTAAAATGGTTCTAAACTTTGAGTCTTGTAATAGTTTGTAATTCTTATTTCAAAGTAGACCAAACTGGGTTATCAGTTTTTGTGTGTATAGTAGTGATTTCTTCTTGTGAGATCTTGCTTATCTGTTAAGCATTATAAAACTTATCTGTGTTTTTATTCATTAAACATATATTTTTGAGGGTCTGCTATATTCTGCATTAAAGTAAGTGGAAGGAATACAACAGTGAACAAGACAAACATATTTCCAGCTTACTTAGAGCTTTTATCTACATATATTTATCACTATTTTTCACTGCTGACTACATTTTGCTACAAATTCAGTTAGTGTGAGGGGAAACATAAACTTGGCCAAGTTATTATTTTCCTAGGAGTTTTATATATAGGAGAAATCAAGTTGGTGGTCGTTCTTTTTCTTACTTTTCAATATCACGAGTCCTAAACTGTCAAGGTAAGTTACCTTTATCTATATTCCTTTTTGCTTTTAAATCAAGGTTTGAGATACTTGTATAGAGGATCATCTGCCAGTTTTTCATCAGGACTGCCTTCTCCTATCTTTCTCCTTCATCCTTTCCTCTCTTACAGTAAATTTCCCTCTCCAAGTGTAGTCATGCCTTCCTCTGACTCAACATTCCATCTTCTGCCAGCTCCTGCCTACTTCTTAGAGAGTAGACAGGTGTGATATGAAGCAATGTGATGGCTAGATGGCAGGTACTTGTCAGCAAGAAAATGATAACTAAAACAAAAACTTTTTTGTGATTCTTTTGAGCCTGTTCTCACTTGTTGTCTTGATGACAAATAATTTTATTCAGGGAAATAATATCTGTTAGTGGGTGTGGATGTGCTTCGGCATCTATACTTTTATTCAGGCCTTTCTTGTTACCTCAATCTCATAGGAAATGAGGAAGGCAGTGGCACAAGCTAAAGACATCAAGATTCTGAAAACTAAGAGAAGTAGACAATTTCACCTGTCCTGACACTATAACACCATATTAAATAACACATTGAAGAGGTAGCATCATGTGGTAAAAAGAACACTGAGTTAGAAATTAGAACACCTGGGTTCTATCACTAGCTGTATGACCTTTGGAAAACAACTTAACCCTTTGAATCTCAATTTTTTTTTTTACCTAGAATGTAAAATAATAACCTGCTTTAAGTATATCATAGGATTTTTCTGTAAACTAGGGGCAAGAAATATTATGTGAACTATAAGGCACAGCACAAATTAAGATGACATTATTTCAGGACTTGAACCATGAAAACCCAGGTCAAATCTGGTAGAAAAAAACAAAATAAAGCCAGGGCAAAAAAGTGAAGCTCTAGTTTATTCTGCTCTTTGGCTTTAATTTTTTCCAGCTACCATTTTATCCATCATCTGTCTTCTTCATCATCATTCATTTTCATTTTCATAAAGTTTTCCTCTCCCTTTCTCATCCTTCTCATCTTTCTCTCTAAATCCTTAAACTAGTGAGTTCCATTTCAGAATTTTCCTCTCTTATTTCTCTATTTACCTCCGGTGTGGCCATAAATTTCTAAAACAAAATAAATTTAAATTAATTTTAATTTTTTTAAATGTCATATGATAGATGCTGAAGGAAACCTTACCCAAAATAAAAAAGCACTACAATATAGCATCTCAGATAGACTGGAAATGAGAGCGTGTGGGGTTTCACTTAACTGTCCCTTGTACAGCAGGGACTTCTTTTCCCCACAGGGACTTCTACATATTGGGTAATAGTGATACTGGCCAGGTTTATACAATTGCTGAGACAGCTTTCATCTTTGGAACTGGATGCTATGGTTAGATGCTCTTCAGATTTTCCAGAAAATCAGCAGAATTTCTTAATACTTCGCTGGTTCCTTCTTGATAAGAGCAGCTTAAGATAAAAAGGTAAATTAGTAGTGAGTTCCTTTCTGTGTTGCCAAAATCAGTTTTGATTGCGTGAGAATGGGCTTGAAAGTGAGATGTATTGGCTTTTAGACCTGTTTTCACCATTTATATTATGAGTCATGTG
Source organism: Homo sapiens (assembly GCF_000001405.40). Taxonomy (NCBI): domain Eukaryota; kingdom Metazoa; phylum Chordata; class Mammalia; order Primates; family Hominidae; genus Homo; species Homo sapiens. The sequence continues at coordinate 69,194,616 of NC_000006.12, forward strand.
ATGGTTATCAAATCACTTTAACCTCTGGTAAGGTTAACCTCTTAATCTTACTTAACAAGGAATTTTGATGCTCAAAACATATATAAACAAACGTATTATTATTAGAGCCTATAGAGCTTAATGTTTAAGAGTGGAGCCTCCAGGGCTACTCTGCCTAGGTTTGAAACCAACTGTGAACTTATTGGCTGTGTGACCTTAGGTACTTAGCATCTCTTGCCACAGTACAGCTAAAAGTAGTAAGAGTCCAGGATTATGAGACTTTCATGTGCTATTTCATGTAAAGTGCTGAGAACAATTCCTGGTATATAGCAAGCATTCAATAAATGTTAGCTGCTAATATTTTTTATTTATCATATGGACATATGGCTAGAGATGGGTGTGTGTTTGTAAAGAAGTTTGAGTCGGCAGATACTTTGGTCTTGCTATTTATGTCCAGTGGTAGAAGTGGAGAAGAAGACACCCAAATATCCTAAGAATTCAAGGACAAGCTACTTCACTTATCCACTTGTCACTGAATTCATGTTGGAAATATCAGATTTGAATTCTTCCAATATTCAGAGTTTCGTTAATGGAAATATTTCAAAATTGTACCAATTGCAGATACTACTCTTAGAAGTTTAAGACACTGCATGATCTGGGCTCAGGGGCTCATGCCTATAATCCCAGCACTTTGGGAGGCCAAGGTGAGAGGATCACTTAAGCCCAGTAATTCGAGACCAGGCCTGGCAACATAGTGGACCCTATTTCTACAAAAAATAAAAATAAATAATAAAAAATAAATTCACTGTAGTCCCAGATACTTGGGAGGCTGAGGTGGGAGGATCACTTGGGCCCAGGAGTTGGAGGCTGCAATAATCATGATGGCACACTGCACATTAGCCTCAATGACAGAGTGATATCCTGTCTCAAAAAAAAAAAAAAAAAAAAAAGACACTGGAGTAATCTTCCTAGAGTATTGAAGCAATTGAAATCCCTGATTTTTACCATTATATTCTCTGGCCTTTCTTCTTACAATTTCTTTTTGTATCCTGTGAACAAGGGCAGGTTTTCATTTATTGCTTTTATATTTGGAGAAACCAATACACAAAGTTTTTTTTTTGTTTGTTTTTGTTTTTAATACACAAGGCCAGACTGAACAAAGTCCTGGTGGAATCATAGTCTCTACCTTTCTGTCTCTCTGGCCTATGCCACGTTTCTCAATATCAGTTTAAATCAATTCCTTTTTTTATACTACGCAAAAGCATAAATATGCTATAGCAAGGCCTTATTTATCTTTTCAGAGTTTGGAGTTTAGGAAACAACTATTGATTTTAAAGAAAAAATGAATAGTCTACTGATATCCATGAGCATAATAATTCATGGAAAGGACATAAATATCATATCTTAGATGTTTACAATTTACATTGCCACTGACTTCCACTCACCTGTTTTAAATGTGAGACTCCTGGATCCCTTCTGTCATCTATTTCTTGTTCCACAACTGAGACTTAGATAATGTTTGGAGTCAGATGTAAATTAAACCTTCATATTATAAATATTATCAAGTGTAGGTACTTTACTGAGGAATACATGGGTACATAAAGTCATATATTTTTACATAACAAAAATTTCCTTTCTTGCCAATTTCATATGAATTAGCATCCTAATGAGAGTTTTCCATGTAATAATAGATCTGTCAGGCTGGTCTTCATAAATTGGTAAACAGGCTGGCCTTTCTGTATTAGCTGGCTTGGGCTACCATAACAAAGTACCACGGTTTGCATGGCTTAGACAACAGAAATTTAATTTTTTCACACTTCCGCAGGCTGTGAGTTCAACATCCAGGTGTCAGAAGGTTTTGTTTCATAAGAGTCCTCTCTTTTGCTATCAGATGGCTGCCTTCTTACTTTATCTTTACATAGCCTTTTCTCTGCAAATGCATCCCAAATGTCTATCCTTTTTTCTATAAGGACACCAGCCCATATTGGATTAGGGTCACACCCAAGTTGTAACTTAACTTTTAATTCTAACTGCCTAATTTTAACTTAATCACCTCTATTAAAAATCTTATCTCCAAAATACAGCTGCATTTTAAGATTTTAGAGGTTGGGACTTCAATGTATGAATTTTAGGAGAGCATGATTCAGTCTGTAACACTTACATAATGAGAGAGCAGAGCAAGTAAGGTCTCTATTGTTCATTCGTTTTGCTTTTATTTAAAGAGGTAATTCCTTGATTTATCACAAAGGGTGATTTGTCATCTAATGAAGGCAGTATGATGTAGCAGAAGGAGCACAGGCATTAGGGTCAGACATATCAGAATTTGAGTGCATTATTGCAGGCAAGTTATTTTACCTCTCAGAGCCCTAATATGTCATCTTCAAAATGGAGATAATACCATCCTGCTCATTTGCTCTGAGAATTAGAAGTAATTGCACTTTACCCTTTGCCAACTATATCAATATGTATATGTGTGGGTGTCTATGTCTCTTATCATTATATTATTCATATTAATATCACAGTTTCCCTCGAGGGCAAGACAAAAGGTTTTTTAAAAATCTGCTAGTATATTTTAGTCTAAATTGAACTTTTACTGGTCAACTTACTAGTCCCTGCTTTCATATTTAATAGTGTTTTTATTGCTAGTTTATTTACCATTTTCTCAAGAACAAAAATACTTTAACTTTTAATTTTTACAAATGTATGTATTTTATATATGGTAAGTGTTTATAATGTTGCATATACATGTGTATTATAGTAACAGGATTTATGTTGGGGCCTAAATATTTAAAGCAAAGTGTGCTTCATGATTACTAAAGACTTTTTTTTTTACATTGTTGAATTTTTAAGTTACCTACTTAATTGAAAAACTCTGATAAAATATTCACTCATTTTTGGACTTCAAAATAAGAAAATGGATACAAACAGATATATCGATGAGCATAATAATTCACGGAAAGGACATAAATACCATATCTTAGATGTTTACAATTTACATTGCAACTGACTTCCACTCACCTGTTTTAAATGTGAGACTCCTGGATCCCTTCTGTCATCTATTTCTTGTTCCACAACTGAGACTTAGATAATGTTTGGAGTCAGATGTAGATTAAACCTTCATATTATAAATATTATCAAGTGTAGGTACTTTACTGAGGTAAGTATAATATCAAGCAAAGGTAAGAGGCTAAGCAATGTAAAGGCTGGAAGAAAAGACAAAGAAGGATTCATGAAGTATTTTGCAAAATATTTAATTTTATGTGCATGGAGCTTTTCCTCCCTTTGTGCCTATCCACTTAGTTCTATTCTTTAATTCCTGTCTCTTACTTAATTCAAGACTTACCTCCTTTCATTTCCTAATACCTTTATTCCTCTCTGAGCATTCCTTTATCTTTTCATACTATTTGATTCCTTTGTATTTATATGAATAATTTCAAGTTAATCAGGGTAAGTAAGAATAATATTTTCCACTTCTTGTGTTTTGAACCTCTTAATAGTGATATATACTGTAGGTATTTGGCTTATTAATTCATTACCATCTGATATAATAAAAATTATTCATTTGTTTTTGTCAGTCTTCCATACTAAAATATAAGTTCTGTGAGAGCAGGACTTTGTTGGTCTTACTCATAATTGTGTCACAGAATCTAGAGTAGTGCCTAAGAAAAACTAGGCACTCAAGACAAGCACCTGAAATGAGCCAGGTGCTGTGCAGGGTGATGGTAATAAAGGGATGAATGAGACTGATAAAGCCCCCACTCTCACGATTTTATATTATAGTGTAGAAAAATAGGAATATAAATACTATGCTATTAGTTAAGATAACTAGTCTGAAGAAAAAGTAGGGTGAAAAGATGGAGCGTGGGATGATGAGGTGATGTTTTGGATAAGGTGATGGGGAAGGCCTCTCAGAAGTGATATTTGAGCAGATACCTGAATAAAGGGAGTATCTGAGAATTGGAGAGGTCAAGTCATTATGACAAAGGTAGCAGCAACTACAAAGGCTGTGAGACAGGAATAAATTCAGAATGTTCAACAGAAAGAAAGCAAATAAAGGAACACAAGGAAACAGTTGGAAGAGACAAGTCTGGAGTGAGTAACAGGGGCCAAATCATGTAGGGCCATATAGTCATCTGGAGAGGTTAGATTTTATTTTGACTGTACTAGGAATCCCCTGAATTAATTAATAAATGAATAAGTGTGTCAATGATGCCTAAATATGGTGTGATTCCAGTACATATACTCAGATAAATTAATTGATTAATTGCTATAATATCATTTTCTACATCCTAATCACACCATCTATCAAAATCCAAAAGAAATCTGACCATTTAATATGAATCAAGCTCAAGTGCCAGGCTCGTTGGAGCAAATGATGAGACAGGCAGAGCAACTGAGCGTGTGGCTAAATGCAGGTCCATTACCTGGTTCTGTCAAAGCAGGCAAGGACACCAGTGGAGGTGAAGCAGAAATACACCAGATGATGATGGGCTTCGGAACAGCTATGGGTGTGGCAGTAAATATCTCTAGAGTGGATAAACTTACTCTGAAAACTTTATTTCCCTCACTTTTCTTTTTCATTGCTCAGCACATCTCTGTTAACACTTCCTTGGAGGCTACATTACTATTCTGGAGGAAAAGCTTTTCAATAGACCAACTGCATTCCAAGTATTTTAGCTGAGAAGGAGTACTTACTGAGGTTAACCATGCAGACTCTATAAGCAGACTGTTTTTGAAGTCACCTGGGTGACCTTGGGCAAGTTAAATTATCATTGCCAGCTTCCACATTGATAGATAGGGATAGTAGTAATAATCTGCATAATACCATTATGAAAATTAAATGAGATAACTCATTTAAAGCACTAGAGTTCCTGGTGTATGATCATTGTTCAAGAAACATAAGCTTTTCTTATTATAACTAAGAAAAAATGTAATTTTCTTGGCATTCAGCTTTATTATGATTACTTCTACAAGTTTCTAAAAGTTAAGTTGGGATTAGCCACTTTCTGAGAAAGAAAAGTATCTTTCTATTCTCACTTTAGTGGTTCAGGACAAAGTTTTATTGCAACAGAAGCCATAAATGTATCCCAAAACAGTAACACATAGCTTGGGGGTAATGTGGAATTATAGAAAGATCTTGAGGTTTGAACCCAGAAGCTCAGCTACCTGCTTTATGGATGAGCATTTAGAAATTATTTGAGCTCTCTGTTCTTCATGACCTTGGATTCAAACTGAGAGTAATAATAGTGACCCTCTTGCAAGGTTTTTCTAGAATTAAAAGTGATTATGTACATAAATATCCCTTAAAACCTTTATAGCCTTGTTCAAATGTTAGTTATTTGTTATTAAAGTTTTTGAGCCATTCAATGTTGATCAAAAAAAAAGGTTTAAGATGAAAAAGCACATCGTTCTGGCATTTGCTTTCTGAAGTAGAAGTAAAATATTGTTTCTCTATTAAGATTGCTAGAGCTTGATGTCATTGGTTTTCTGGTTTATGTATGTTTTTGTTATTTTTACCAGAAATAAAGTTTTAATTAAAAAAAAAACAGAGAAAACTCTATTGGGTCTGATATTCTCATTTTCAAGATGTTGTTTTCTAACATGAAGTTTCAAGAAAATGAGAGAGAAAAGCTGAAGGGTTACAGGGTTACCTGCATTTCACAAAAGCAACCATTTTGGTAGGGATAACTTGAAAAAAAAATTCTAGATATCATATTCTTGACATTAGTTTGGCAAGCATATAGCACAGATGTGGCAGAGAGAACATTAAGGCTAAATTTATAATATTAATCTGTTGTCATCAGTATACAAATAAAATTAAACCCACATTGACAGATAAAGTTAGTAAAGGGAGATCTGTGTCTTAGAAAGGAGCAAAGGCCTGAGAACATAAACTCTCATGACACCTGAGACAAAATGGTGAGTGTCAAAGTCTGGGACACCAACTGGGCATTCTCTACATTGCAATTTTTACTTGACTAAAGGTTCTGACCAAAGATATAATGTTTCTGTTCAAACCGAGAATCTAAGCATCTGATGGAAGCAGCTGTGAGATCTATGAAAGCCTCTGCAAGCCTTCTCAGCTGCATCTCCCTGGAGTCTCACATGGCTTTCACAAGTGACATTCCATGACTGTGCCACAGACCAAAACAAACCAGAAATCTACACGCAAGAAGCTTTTGGAAAACTGGAGGAAGCCAACTCCTACATCCCCAAAGTGGAACTTTTAAAAGCAGGGAGAAATAAAAGAAAAGGCAAAGAAGTTTTTTTTAAGCTGACACTGCTAGAACCATTATCTATCCATGTCAGAAGAAGCATTTAGAATCCATCTTTCTATCATTATTAATTTATTAAAGAAGTGCAAAAAATAAATTTATTTAATAAGCAACATAAGATGACAGAAATGCTTCACAGAGCCTATGACTTCATAGCTTTAACATAGAAATCACATTCTCATTGTATCTTTCCACCTGAGAACTTGCCCATAAATCATCCTTTACTTTCCCTGGTTCTTTAGATGCTTCTGTTTAGATTTTTCTCCCTCTGAAGAAACAAATAACAAAACACCATGATTATTTCCCTTTATCTTAAAATACTTCCCTTGTTACTCTTGAGCTAACACCTCATTTTTTGAAACACTTTATAGAAAAGTCTTTTCCACAAGATGGTCTACACCTGCTGCCTCCCCTCTCTCCCCACCTTGCCTGGATGTGACTTCCTCCTCTGGCTCCTAGTTCCCAGGACCTTGTCCTGGCTGTTTCTTCCTGAACTTCTTTCTGTTACATATGGCCCTTTTGACTACCTATCTTTCTTAAAATTCTCTATTGATTATTTCCAACTTTTTTTTATCTCTCCCTATTCTTATTTTCTCTCCCTCCTTCTAATTTTCTCTGCTTTCTTTGATTGTTTTGTTTCCTAACTCCTAAAAGTGCACATGTTCTAGAGTTCTGGGTTTTGCTTCATTCTCTTCTATATACTTACATTTTATTGATTCAAAATATCAAAAGTATATATTTTTATCTTCCTTATATGCCTGTGCTCTTAACGTCAGGCACTGTCAGCATCACTGCTCTCTTGTCTGTTCCAGGATTATAACCACATGGGTCTCAATGTTATTAGGTCTATCCTAAATTTTGTCTCTCCTTCCATGAAATTTCTTTTATAACAGAATTTTCATTATGACCCTATTTCCTCCCTGAATGGACTATTTCAACTACCTCCAGGATATTCCTACCCCTTTCTAATCCGACCTATCATTTCATCAAACTTAACATATCTTCTGTTGTCTACCCTTCCATTTAAAATGATACATGTTAAGTTTTCCAGAAATATGGCATCACCATCACTACTCAGACATCTTATCCAGGAAAAACTGAGCTCTTCTCTATAGCTCTTTGTATTGTAAATGATGTTCAGATTGTGCCATAGGACACCATTCCTGCATGCCAGCTTGCCTGCCAGTGTGATTTGCAGTCCTTCCTCAGTGTTCTACAGAACCAGAAGTTGAAGTCACTCTTATCTTGAAGATATATTGTTTTTGCTCATTCACAAATGTTTAATGAGGCTATGTTTTGGTCACAAATACCCTAATGTTGATAGGCAAGTTGTCTCATAAAAATGATGTTTTAGGTTTCCATTTGGCTTTTCAATATTAAGGACAATTCTGAGATTGAACTAATATTTAATTGAGAAGTTATCTATGGTATCTAGGAAGGGTTACTAAAACCTCTATACTTTTCTATATGCTGAAGTGGATCCTGACTGTCTTTCCTCTTATATTTAGGGCATTAACACTTAACCAGTTGCATTATTCCATTTATTATAAATTCTACATTCCAATCTGTACTACCCACTCCACTTGAAAGAGAGAGAGAGACGGAGAGAGAGAGACAGAGTTTTCCTCTGCTTGTCTCAAAATTGTCCTATAAACCACAACTTGCACCTGCAATATTAATAGACTTTTCACAGGTAGACTCGAATGTATTCTTCCATATACCTAAATAACACAGTCAAGTGTCCTAATTGAGATTTCAAGTAATATTTAGAACTAAGTTAATCTCCCACAGATAGTTGAGGGTTGACTATGTAGGTAGCTGAATTTTTATGAACAACATTTCTTATAACTACTGAATAAAGAAAAGCTGGGTATAAGAACAGAGGGCATTTGAGAAATCAGATACTTTATTGGCAGCTACCAGAAATAAGTACCTACTGGCTTCAACTTCCCTGGTTGAAAAAGTGATAAATTCCACAGAAGCCTGAGGAGTTGCCAGAAGAAAGGCTTTCTGGCAGAGCACGCAGGATGTGATCAAATGCTTTAGCAGAACGTTGGAGTTACATGACCTTTAACAGTAATAGCCAAGTAATAAATTAGTCTCCCCAGCTGCTAGTTCATAATCATAACAGCAAATATTATGTGAAAATTAAAACCATGGCAGATAGTAGTCATGGTAACATAACATAGTGATCACAGCCATTAAAGGATAGAGTACTGAGGTCTGAGAGAAACTCAGTTAAGAATACAGATATTTGATTTGAAAAAAACAAACAAAAAAGCTACTTTTGAAATTAGCACAGCATAATGCAGAGAGGTTGTGAAAACAGTTTTAAATCATACCTTAATCCTGGAAAGTACAACGGCATTGCCTGGTACATCAGATCATTACTGTGGTTTTATTATCATTATCATTGAGTAAGCTTTTAGCAACTACACCTTGTTATAACCCATTCATCAGCAAAACAGGCATTGCCAGGATTGAGTGGTGACCTTGGTTTCAGGGGCAAATAATAACAGAGCCCTTTATCTTGTTCTTCTTTCCTTTATTCCTTCTTTCTATTAGTCTCTCCATTGTTTTTGTTTTTTTTTTCTCTTACCCATATTTAATTATACTAAGGCTTCAGACATGCTATGAATTATTGGAGTTGGTAAGAAGTCATATCATTGTTTCTTAAAAGCTCTCAATATTGCACCATCATCCACAAGACAAAGGCAAGTCTTGAAAACGTGACCCTCAAGATTCTTTAGTTGGTCCCTGCCCTTTTCTGCAGCCACAATACTTTCTGCTTCCTGCCTCACACATTATTCTCTGTAACATCTACTTACTCTCATGTATCATTACATCTTTCTTCTAAACTAACAAATATGCATAATCCGCACAAACTGAGCCTCATTTGCCAAAGACCAGGAAATTCTTTTGAATCTCATGGTTTAATTGATTTCAATTGGCCACTAAAATTTCGTCTATGAGTAAATCTAGTGATCCTTCTGCTCTTATGTACAGAAGCCAAGAGGTCTGCTGCTAGATTTGTATATACGTGTGTCTTATTTCACTTCAGATTTTTCATTTGAGAGTGTTCTTAGTCATCCTTAAGATAATTAACAGCTTTGATAAAAGGAACAAAGCTAGCATTTTTTTTTTAACAATCCCAAAGCTGTGCCATGAACACATTTAGTTTTTAATAACTGGTATTTACCAACTGACTGGCTGACCAGTGATGCACTAAGAATAAGCACTAACCTTTCTTCTGGATACATTAACTTAAAGTTTCAAAGCCTCTCTGAGACTTGGCATGGCTTTCAAGCCTAAATGTTTTGTGTAAAATATAAAAAGCCCAAAGTCCTCAAAATGTTTTTCTCTTTCCATGAAGCAAAGTGTTTCCTTTGGACATTATATTTTTTTATTGATACTTAAATCACATTTTTTTTCCTGCAACACTAATAAAAACGATTATGTTGCCAAACATTAAAAAGCCCAAAGTATTTAAAGACCTGAATAACCATACAACATTGAACCATATATGTGCCAATATGGCAATTGAGTGTCTTCAGTTGTTTCTTGCTTTTGAGTTTGGTATTCTAAGGATAGTGATTAAGAGCCAGTCTCAAAAATCACTCATTTGGCTGAGTGGTTAAGGCATTGGACTTAAGATCCAATGGAGTAGTGGCTGTGTGGGTTTAAACCCCACTACTGGTATGTTTAGTTTTCATCCCTCCACTCTTTCCAATACCATCATTTGAAAAATACATGAAGAGCTGGGTTCATAAAATTAATTTGCCCTGCTCAGTTGCTTTGTTCATATTCTTATTTTTTACAAAACATTTTATCTAGAAATTAAAAGAATCATCTCCTATTGCCACCGTTAATTGTTGGGTTCTTTTTTTCTTTTTTTTAGCAAGTCTTTTAATCTCTCTGACCCCGTTTCCAAGACTGTAAAATTATGCAACTGTTTTAAATTGTTGTCAATTTATTTTATAACCCCAATATGAGTGGACAATGTTAAGTGGCACTTAAAAGTAGATAGTAGGTTGTATGTACTTTATAGGATTTTCAATTTCTGAAAATCATACTGTGCCTGTTAAGACATTCCTAATGTAACCTTCAGCAAAAGGCTGGATTCATTTTATATTAAGTTAAAATTTTTCCTGTAATATGCTCATACACTTTTTCCATTAAAAGTAAATGCTAAATAATTTGTAAAATGTTTAGCATATTGCAAACCCAGCCAGGAATAAGCTTCATTAAAATAGAACTGTGTAGCTGAAACTGAATATTGCTTAACACTCCTACTATCAAAATATTGACTTAAAAAGCTAATGTCCATTCAATATAAGGACATTTTATTTAACTCAATTCACCTGGGGTCCTCATTGCTGCGGCATTTTTCTCCCCTCTAAGAAGATGTCAGGAGAGTTTCAAAGCTACTCTAAAGAAAGAGAATCATCATGCTCAGTTATACTGGCCCTATGAATTGAAGACTGAGACTGCCACTGATATTGTCTTTTCTGTAGAATAAAAGACCTTTTTTTTTTTTTTACCTGAGAAGATAGCCTCATGGTTAAAACAAACAAACAACAAACAAATCAAAAAAAGTACAGTACCCAGTTTCTTAGTCAATTTTCTATACCTACATCAGAATACCACAGACTGGGTGATTTATAAATAAAAGATGTTTATTTGCCTCATGGTTCTGGAGGCTGGGAATTTCAAGAAAATGGCACTGGCCTCTAGTATGGGTGATCCCATGGTGAAATGTGGGAGGCAGAAGCTATTGTGCAAGAGAGGGCAAACTCTTGGGCCAAACATATCTTTTTATCAGGATATGTTTTACTCCTGTGATAACTAACTCACTTCCACAATAATAGCATTAATCTCTTCATGAGGGCAGAACCCTCATGACTGAATCATGTAATTTTTTTACATTATTTTTAAGAGATGAGTCTCACCTTGTCACCCAGGCTGGAGTACAGTGGTGTCATCATAGCTCATTGCTGCCTCAAATTTCTGATCTCAAAGGATCCTCCTGCCTCAGCCTCTCAAGTACCTGGGACTACAGGCATGGATCACCACACCAAGCTAATTTTTTTTTTTTACATTGTATTAGTCAGGGTTCTCTAGAGGGACAGAACTAATTAAAATATATATAGAGAGAGAATAATATATATAATAATGGTATATATATATATATATATATATATATATATATGAGTTTATTAAGTATTAACTCACACTATCATAAGGTCCCACAATAGGTCATCTGCAGGCTGAGGAGCAAGGACAGCCACTTTGAGTTCCAAAATTGAAGAACTTGGAGTCTGATGTTTGAGGGCAGGAAGCATGCGGAATGGGAGAAAGATGTAGGCTGGGAAGCTAGTCCAGTCTCTCTTTTCTCATTTTTCTGCCTGCTTATATTCTAGCTGCGCTGGCAACTGATTAGATTGTGCCCACCCAGATTAAGAGTGGGCCTCCCTTTCCCCGCCCACTGACTCAAATGTTAATCTCCTTTGGCAATGCCCTCACAGACACATCCAGGATCAATACTTTGTATTCTTCAATTCAGTCAAATTGACACTCAGTATTAACCATCACAAGTCCACCCTTTGTCAACTTGAACCCATACACACCTCCTGAGATTATACATAACCTTCAGATAAAGAGAATAATAAGGTCATAATTATGTCTAACATAATACAACTATCCTTCGTACAACCAGAAACGCACCAATCCCCAACTCAAATATTATTACCTAACATTAACAATACTTAAATGATGATGTGAAGTCAATAAATCTTATGTCACATGATAAAAAAGAAAAGAAATTAAATGAAGAAGGAAACAAAAGAAGGAGAAAATACTCATGAGAGTTACAGTCCTCGTTTCTGCAGCTGGTCATGTGGTCATAGCTGGTATTGATGACTACCTTCTACTACCCATTCTGTATTCCCTTTGCCTTTAGCAACCACCTCAGCAGGTTGTGATTATTTTTCCTGGTGGAGTGACCCAAACTTTCTTTCTTGAAGGGTCTGGGTCATTTGTAGTCCTGGATTGGGCTTTTGTAGTTTTCTATTGACCTTAATCACAGGGCATGTTAATACCAAGAGACACCCTAAAGGATCTCCTGTATTCCATGCATACTCTTCCTGACCTCCACTGTGGAGTAGTAGACTGATTTCATCTTGATAGTCTAGGTCATTCACGCCAGCCAACACTGTTACTCCCTTCTAAGCCTGTTGACTTAAAGGTAGGAGGAGCCCAAAGTCTTAACTTCCAGTCTAATGGAATTGTTGTGTCTCCTGGGGGCAATGTTCCTCCCTCTGGAACTAAGACCTCTAGGCCAGCAGAATGTAATGTCGCAGGAATGGGAAGCAAAAAAATTTGCTAGTGGATCACTAGGGGAGATGGTGAGTGGTGCCACTTCCACTTCCATCCCTTGATTCTGGACCCCACTCAAAACTGGCAGCCTTTTGGGTCAGTTGATAAATGTGCCAGAGTAACAAACCCAAATGAGGAATGTGTTTCCTCCAAAATCCAAATAGCCCCCCTAGGCATTGTGCCTTTTTCTTGGTTATAGGAGGGGCCAAATGCAGCAACTTATCCTTCACCTTAGAAGGAATATCTCAACAGACTCCACACCACTGGATCCCTAGAAATTTTACTGAGGTAGAAGGTGCCTGAATTTTAGTGAATCCTGTCTATAAGAGAAACAGTACCATATATTGGATGCTGATTCAGAGCATACATGGCCTTCTGGAGAACTTTTCCCCAGCCCTGCAAAGTATTGTCACATAGTTAGCATTGTAATTGTGGACTTCGAAAGGCCATTCCCCTTTTCTATCTATCCAGCTGCTTCAAGATGATGGGGAACATGGTAAGATCAGTGAATTCCATGAGCGTGAGCCTGTTGCCTCACTTTTTTAGCCATGAAGTGAGTTCCTTGGTCAGAGGCAATGTTGTGTGGTATACCATGACAGTGGATAAGGCATTCTGTGAGTCCACAGATGGTAGTCTTGGCAGAAGCACTGCATGGAGAATAGGCAAACCCAGTGGGGACAAATCTCTGCCCTTTCCATGATGAAAGAGGTCCAATATAATCAACCTGCCACCAGGTAGTTGGCTGATCACCCAAGGAATGATGCCATATCGAGGGCTCGGCGTTGGTCTCTGCCACTGGCAAATTGGGCACTCAGCAGTGGTCATAGCCAGGTCAGCCTTGGTAAGTGTTGACCATGTTGCTGAGCCCATGCGTAACCTCCATTCCTGCCACCATGGCCACATTGTTCATGGGCCCATTGGGCAATAACAGGGGTGGCTGGGGAAAGAGGCTGAGTGATGTCCAGAGAACGGGTCATTTTATCCACTTGATTATCAAAATCCTCCTCTGCTGAGGTCACCCGGTGGTGAGCATTCATATAAGATATTAATATCTTCACAGTTTTTGACCACTCAGGGAAGTCCACCAACATACCTCTTCCCCAAATTTCTTTGTCACCAGTGTTCCAATCATGCTTCTTCCAAGTCCCTGACCATTCAGCCAAACCATTGGCTACAGCCTATGAATCAGTATATAATTACACATCTGGCCATTTCCCCTTCCATGCAAAGTATATAACCAGGTGCACTGCTCGAAGTTCTGCCCACTGGGAAGATTTCCCGTCACTGCTATCCTTCAGGGATGTCCTAGAAAGGGGCTGTCATGCTGCAGCTGTCCACTTTAGGGTGGTGCCTGCATATCGTGCAGAACCATCTGTGAAGCAAGCCCTAGTCTTTTCTTCCTCTGTCAACTGATCATAGGGAACTCCCCATGAGGCCATCAGTGCAGGCGAGGGGAGAGAAGGCAGGGTGGCAGGAGTGGAGACCATGGCCATTTGAGAAACTTCTTCATGTAACTTACTTGTGCCTTCAGGACCTGCTCAAGCCCAATCACATATATACCACTTCCATTTGATGATGGAATGGTGCTATACATAACCCATTTTATGGCTTGATGGGTTAGAAAGCACCCAGTTCATGATAAGCAGTTCAGTTCACAGGGTAACATGATGACCCATGGTCAAACATTCAGTTTCCACCAAAGCGCAGTAACAGGCCAAGAGTTGTCTCTCAAAAGGAGATTAGTTATCTGCAGAAGATGGCAGGGCCTTGCTCCAAAATCCTAGAGGCCTCCACTGTGATTTACCTATGAGGTCCTGCCAAAGGCTCCAAACAGCATCCCTATCTGCCACTGACATCTCAAGCACCATTGGATCTGCTGGCTCGTATGGACCAAGTGGCAGAGGAGTTTGCATAGCAGCCTGGACCTGTTGCAGAACCTTCTCCTATTCTGGACCTCACTCAAAACTGGCGGCCTTTCAGGTCACTTGCTAAATGTGCCAGAGTAACACACCCAAACGAGGAATATGTTGCCTCCAAAATCCAAATAGGCCCACTAGGCATTGTGCCTCTTTCTTAGTTGTGGGAGGGGCCAAATGCAGCAACTTATCCTTCACCTTAGAAGGAATATCTCAACAGACCCCACACCAATAGGCCCCTAGAAATTTTACTGAGGTAGAAGGTCCCTGAATTTTAGTCATATTTATTTCCCATCCTCTGGCACCCAAATGTCTCACCAGTAAGTCCAGTGTGTTTGCTACTTCTTGCTCACTGGATCCAATCAACATAATGTCATCAATGTAATGGACCAGTGTGATATCTTGTGGAAGCAAAAAGCAATTGCAGTCTCTCTGAATAAGATTATGACACAAAGCTGGAGAGTTGATACACCCCTGAGGTAGGACAGTAAAGGAGTATTGCTGGCCTTGCCAGCTGAAGGCAAATTGCTTCTGGTGGGCCTTATGGACATAAATGGAGAAATAGGCATTTGCCAAGTCAATGGCTACATACCAGGTACCAGATGTTCTTTGGTTCTCCACATATGGTCAAAGCTATTATGTATAGAGTCACTAAACTTCTTGCCTCTCGACACGAGGGATGAATCAGGATAAATCAAATTCATTTATTTTGCATAACTCTCTAAACAGTTCATGCCAAGGACTATCAGTGTTCTCCATACTATTAGAAGAAGAGTCCTTAGTATTTTGAGGTCTAATCATATTAAGCAGCCAACTCCAGAAACCCCAAAACCAATGAAAGAACTCCATCCTTAATACTCTGCTCCTCTAGAACCACTCCTGCTACCAAAATCTGTATTAATCAGGGTTCTCTAGAGGGACAGAACTAATTGAATATATGTATATAGATACACACACACACTCATATATATCATATATTAATATATATCATATATATATATATATATATAAAGGGGAGTTTATTAAATATTAACTCATGATCACAAGGTCCCACAATAGGTCATCTGCAGACTGAGGAGCAAGGAGAGCCAGTTTGAGTTCCAAAACTGAAGAACTTGGAGTCTGATGTTCAAGGGCAGGGAGCATCCAGCATGGGAGAAAGATGTAGGCCTGGAGGCTAGGCCAGTCTCTCTTTTCACATTTCTCTGCCTACTTCATATTCTAGCTGTCATGGCAACTGATTAGACTGTGCCTATCCAGATTAACGGTGGGTCTGTCTTTCCCCGCCTACGGACTCAAATGTTAATCTCCTTTGGCAACGCCCTCACAGACACATCCAGGATCACTACTTTGTATTCTTCAATTCAATCAAGTTGACACTCGATAATAACCATCACATACATTTTAATTTTTTGTAGAGATGGGGTCCTACTGGGTGGTCTAAAACTCCTAGGCTCAAGTGATCTCCTGCCTTGCTTTCCCAAAGTGTTGGGAATGCAGACATAAGCCATCACACCCAGCCAATGACTTAATCATTTCTTAAAGGTCCCATCTCTCAACACTGTTAAAATGGCAAATAAATTTCAACATGCGTTTTGGAGGGGACGTTCAAACCATAGCACCCAGCTTCCCTGCCATTTTAATCTGCCTAGTCAATGAAATATAAGCAGAACGGCCAGGCATGGTGGCTCACGCCTGTAATCCCAGCACTTTGGGAGGCCGAGGCTGGCGGATCACGAGGTCAGGAGATCGAGACAATCCTGGCTAACACGGTGAAACCCCGTCTCTACCAAAAATACAAAAAAAAAAAAATTAACCAGGCGTGGTGGCAGGCACCTGTAGTCCCAGCTACGCGGGAGGCTGAGGCAGGAGAATGGCCTGAACCCGGGAGGCAGAGCTTGCAGTGAGCTGAGATCACGCCACTGCACTCCAGCCTGGGCGAGAGAGAGAGACTCCGTCTCAAAAGAAAAAAAAGAAATATAAGCAGAAGTTGTGTATGTGACTTTCAGGACATATTCTTAAGAAAAGGGAGAAAGTTCTCTTTGTTTTATTTTTCACTGTTTGCTGGAAGGAAGGTCGGCAACCTATAGCTGGGTCAGTCATCTTGGGGCCTGAATTGGAGGTCATGCGTGATAGAGCCA
Source organism: Homo sapiens (assembly GCF_000001405.40). NCBI lineage: Eukaryota > Metazoa > Chordata > Mammalia > Primates > Hominidae > Homo > Homo sapiens. The sequence continues at coordinate 69,211,302 of NC_000006.12, forward strand.
ATAAAAGAAAGGGAATCTATACCCCTGATGCAGTGGAATATCATACAAGCTGTGGGCCATCTTTCTTCAGATTGTAGATGAAAGACAATAAGATTTGGGCTTTTCTGCCAAACTTAATCCTATATATCTTTAATGTGTTTGTTTGCGTGTGTGTGCATCTAGTGCCAAGTAACATCTAAAAAAGTTCCTGTATTATAATATTTAATGTGTTACAAGAACACTATCAGGTAGAAAAATATCATAAAAAATGTAACAACTGAGCTTAAAGAGGCCAACTCTAACAAGTAGAAGCCCTGGACCTTCCCTGTCACTATGTCCTTATCTTCCTCTCATTTATATTATATAAGATATTTATTAGTTTATATTATCATCTTCTTCTCACTCAAATGTATGGCCAGAGACTTTTACAGCTATATTCCCAGGACCTAAAACTTGACTTGGAATATTATTTGTTGAACACAAGAATAGACGACTCCATACCCATCTCCAAACCACAAAATTATACTGCTATCCACTGTTTCATCTTTCATAACCAATTCTATATGGATTACAACTGTGTGCATTACAATCAATTCTGTATGGATTACAACCACATGTATTTTACATAGTCTAGCATTTTTGATTATAAAATAAATGCTTAGATATTACATAATTCAGAGAAATGTACAGAGAGATAAGCTCAAGTTTATACTTTGTTATTTGATTTAGCAGACTGACTTTTATTCTCAAATTTATAAGAAGTTTAATATTTTCTGAATTCCATAAATTCTGATGCAAGAACATAATTAATTTTCAGTATTAGCATAATGAATTTGTAGGAAATCAAATAAGGTTACTGTAACCTCACTTTGAACAGTACAGCATTCGAAAAAACATCAAAACTCATTTTTGTTGCTTATTTGCCTGTGAAACGTGTTTTATGATGGCCTTTTCTAATATTGCCCTCTAATTAGCTTTCCTGAATTTGTGAATACATAAATCACACAGAACTACATTTTAAAAAATTAAAATGGAAACACAAGTTCAATTAGCCTGAAATAGGAGAAACATAAGACTGTTTAAGAGTATTTCAGACCGCACTATCGAGTTCCCATTTTATGTGGAGCACTGAATGTTTTTAAAGATGACCCAATAAAAGAGCTAAATTACACAATTTTCAAAAAGATTTTAAGGTTAAAGATGATTATTCATTGTATTTTTTCCATAAAAGTGTTATTTTAAAAGAAAAAAAAAATAAAGGATCCCCAGTAGAAACTGAAACATGACCTTTTCTTTTATTCCTCCAGACATTCATCAAATTGCACTGCTTGATTGTCCTGTTCCTTCCTTGATTTGGTAGGCAGAATATTTGAAATATTTAATTGGCCAGTTATTCCTATCTAAAATCCCATTGCAGACAATGAAACTACTGGTTTGGTAAGAAAACTTAATGCGTTAGAAAAGAGGAATGGGTAGTGTTTGATTAAGGGTCTTTGCATGTAACCTTTATCAGCAAGTCAGAACCAGCTTTTTATCTTGTTTATTGTAGAACTTTCTCGATCTGTGGGCCTGTGATACCTCTTTTCAGCAGTAGAAAGGTGATAGGAGGTAGCAGACATTATTTTAGTTTAAAGTGGATAAAGAGGAGTGATAGGAAAAAATATTATCTTTTGCAAGGAAGCTGATGCATAGCTTGACAAGTGTTCCTGTAATATGATCCCATAATGTTTCAGTTTAGCCCACAAATCTAATGAGATACATTAGTGCGGCTATAGATGAAGTATTCATTTTATAAAGACATCACTTTATTTTGTGAAGACTGTGAATACTTAGCACAAAATTAAAGTGCATGCACATGAACAAATTCAAGTACTTGTTCATATCTCACTCTCCCCACTTGGCTTCAGAAATCTTTCAAATGAATGTAATTTTCTTCCCTATAAATTCTAGAAATGAGAACATTCAACAAATAGGAGAATTAGTTTGCACTTCACTCTCACATTATATTTACCTTAAGGGTAACCTACCTATTTCCCTGGTTCCAAAGATGCTTTGTTCCAAAAATCACAAATGTAAAGAGAAAACTGGTATGTGCATTGCTTCAGTAAACCATGACTGGCAATCATTAAATAACTTTTGCATGATTCAGGATTATACCTGTATTTTAATTTTAGAAATTAATATTTGCTATACATTGGCTTTTGGGTAAGGAAATTCTCATGGAGAACATTCTCTTGCTATATAGCATAGTCCCATGGGTTTCCTGACATTTTGAAAACTATTTTTCCATATTTATCACAGGCTTTATTTAGACTCCATCTCTAGCAAAAGTACAGACAGTACAACATGCGTTTTACTTGATACACTCCTGGCTCCTTCCTCCTACTTCTATTTTTTCATATCTATTTTTGTTTAATATTATTTTTATCTTTTATTGTACATGTTCAAATGCCACCTTAAATCTTTCTGTAACTGGAAGGGTAAAGCTAGATTAGATAGATGGATCAATAAATAGATTGATAGAGAGAATGTGATACAGCATTTACTATTTTACTATATTCCAAGTTTGTACCTCCTTTGCTCAACGAACCCTCATTTACCACCCAATATGTTCAAAGTTATATATTGTGATTCCAAATAGAATAATATGGTCTCTGATGTTAAGGACCTAAAAATTGAGTAGGGGAGAAAGTGACCTCAATAACTAACCACTATACAATATGCTATTTATAAATGACATATAAAAATAGCTATCAGAACACAAGCAGCCCTGGGCATCCCTGGGTGTAAAATATTAAGGAAAGTTTTACAGAGAAGAGGGTATTTGACCTGAACTGGAGAAGAATATCCCATGCAGGGGTAGAGGAGAGGAACAAACAGCATTAGCAAAGGCACACAATGATGGACAGGAATATGCAGGAGGAATTTGAAAACTCGTTAGTTCCCTTTTTGTTACAATTGTCAGTTGGAAGTGGTGTCAGCTGGGTGTGGTGCTACCCTGAGGCATCAGCTTAGTAATACATGACTATATGAGGTACCTGATATGGCTTTTCAGCAGCCCTTGAGTATTGTAGTCAGTGCTGCTTGACCCACTGTAGAGTTAAAGCATCCTCCGTCTCTGCTGATTCAGGTCTATTTTATTTTCCTAGCAGGCAAAACAGACTGCAAAACATTTGGGGGACAGGTACTATATTAAAGAGCTATGTTTTATTAACAGAAGAAATTTCTGGCAAAGATCAACCAAGAAAGTGACTAAAACAACAACCAGACTGGTGATTTTAGCTGTAAAGACTAGATCCCCCAAATCTACTTAGGTTTAAAATTACGGTGAGCAGAGTCTTGTTGGACTGTGGATATGTGACTTTGAAGCATGCTGGGTATCAGGAGGGAATAAGAAGTTTTCTAGCCCTAAAAGAAATCCCCCACAATTGCCCATGTCTCAGTTTCTGTCAGGTTGGTGCAAACGTAATTGTGGTTTTTACCATTAAAAGTAATGGCAAAAACCACAATTACATTTGCACCAACCTAATTTTAAAAAGCTCAAATTCTTAAAAGAAAATACATCTTCCTAAAATATACTTTTTAAGTTACAAATTGAAAAAGTAGGGAAACCTGGGATCAGAGCTAACATCATCTAGTGAGGAACAAGACCTACGCATAGCATATACTTCCTGATACGATATTCCAAGAAAGGCAAAACATCACTCTCCATCTACTCTTGGGAAAACACATGCCGACCTAAATTGAGGGACATTCCACAAAATAAGTGGTAAATACTCTTCAAAATTGTAAAAGTCATGAAAGACAAAGACTGAGAACTGTCCCAGATTGGACATTGAGGAGATAACATGGCAATGCAGTACAGAACCCTGCAGTAGATGCAGTGTCACAAAAAGGACATTAGAGATACGATTGGATTTTGAAGGTTTAAAGATTAGTTAATAGTATGTGCTAATTTTAACTTTATAACATTAATTATACTGAGGTTATGCCAAATTAGCATAGAAGAAGAGCTGAGTGAAGGGGATATCTGTGTACTATTTTTACATTTTATGTCTAAAATTTTTTCAAAATAAAATGTTAAAAAGAAAATATATGTTCTAGTTCCCATTTTCTTTTTTTCTTAGTTGTAGCTTTAAAAAAGAAAGAAAAGATGACAAAATGAACAGAAACGTGTGTGTGTGTGTGTGTGTGTGTGTGTGTAGATAGATGTAGATAGATATATCTCTATAGATAATTCAGTCCTTTTATGAAATATCCATTGCTTTCAAAAGTGAAGTGTTTTCAGGAAAATATTAACTAAACTCAACCTTTTTTGCTTGAATAAAGAATTATAAGACCTATAAGAGATATAATGTAGCCTATCCCACAATTCTCATTAGAGACATTTCAAAGACTTCGGGGACAGGTTAAAAAAAAAATCATCCAAAGCCTATTAGTTGTGGCTTTGTCCATTCTCTCACAATAATATTCTTACAGCTGACTTAAAGATCTCCTCCCTTGGTTAAAACCAAATTTCTCTGGCTTGTTAGAGGAGGAGAAGAGTGGGTGGTTGTCTTCCACACAGTGAAATAAATTTCTTAGGCCCTAATAATCCTCAAACTGGATGTTGCTAACTCCTTTAATTCTTTTCCACAGCTGACATAGATAGTTAATATAAATTCAAATCTCCTATCTACCTTGACTACTTTCTAGGACACAAAGATGGTTTTTCGTCTTCCATTGGGATAGGAGATTATAATCTAAATAAGTGTGTATCCTACACAGCATATTTTTTGGCTGCTACTAAATACTGACTTTATTTTAAATATTATAATGGTTTTGGTGGCAGAGTATCATTTTCACCTTCCCAAAATCCTAGTAATTGCCTGAAAATAGGTAGGCACTTTATTTGTTAAGTGGATGGATGGATGAAAAGCTCTAGGCTAAAGAATGTACTTGATTGAAAGACCCTAATAGGTCTAAACAGAACTACTTTCCATCTCTAAAGACTATTGCTTGGGGCCACTTGCATTTGAATACCTAGAATTAGTGAGAAAATTTACCTAAGACTGATTTAGGATCAAGGTTTCTATCAAAAAGCCAAGTAATGTAATTTGAAGGGCTTTTAACACCTTGTTAAGGGAAAAGTTACCTACAGGCCCTGGTTGTGGTTATCAGAGGGTACTCCTGTTGCCATCGGCCCAGGAGAAAGGAAGCACAAATGTAAATAAGGCTGAACTAAACACTGAGCAACACCCACAGGTAAAACTAGGAGTGTGAAAAAGTCCCGAACCACAGAATCCACTGTGAGTGACCTGAGGAGGGAGAGAACACTGGGCTATCTCCAGAGCAAAGCCATTCCAAGAACACAGAAAATGAAGCCCCATGGGTTCAGTTCCAGAGAAACAGAAAAATAGCCTAGAGAGCTCTGGAAAATCTCCAAGGCAGAAAGAATCGGCTTGGACAGAATAACCAGAAAGAGGCTGACCATTGGTTGTAGAGTGACAGTGATTAGCTTTCAGGGACATGGGGTCCCAGTGGTGTTATTGTCTATTTTAAATGGTGGTCTTCAGTGGAATGATGAAATAATCTGTCAATCTGGATAAAGAGAGGAACTGCACGCATTCAGGTTTGGAGATGAAGAGGGCACAGAGCTGCCCACACAACTCTCACTCCTGAATGCTGTCCTACCTGTAACCTGTCTTGTCCAGAAACTGGGAAGGGGCTTATTGAGGAAAAAGGGAAAAGACATTTAGGAGGCATGATTCTTATTCTTGAAGCAATAGGGGTATATAAATCATCATGTTTCCTTTCAGCCACTCTGGAGCAAGTCCAACTGAATGAATGTGAGAAAAGGGACCTTCAGTTTCTTTGAGTCCTGAGTGGGTGGCGCAGATGTCTCACCCAAAAGAGTCGTAAATAAAGGTGAATCTGGAGACAAGAAAATGTGGTCCTTTTTAATAGTCGGTCATTTGGAGGCTGAGCTGAGGTCCTGGCAGTAGTCACCAAGAAGCAGAGAGTTCTTATCAGTACTTGTACTGAAGGAAAGGTCTGAGATACTGCCCTTTTTACCCCAAGCCTCTAAGATAAATCTGTATAATGATTGCAAATAAAACTTGTATGGGAGAAAAAAAAGATTTTTATGATGTGATAGGCAACATAGAATAAAACTGGCAAAATCTGGCCTTGAGCATCTGCTTTTCTGCCCCTTATTTCTGAGTGTTGCAGTCATAAATTATCTATAGTTCAGTAACATGGCTGGTAAGTAAGGCTGCGTGATATAGCAAGAATGCAGTGCTCTGTTCAAGGTGGCCTGGTTGCAAGGAAAGGAAGCAGGGTGTCGCCCAGCCCCATGGGCTGCAGCACATCTCAACTCTGGTTGGGCAGGGACTTAGATTTACCTGAAAGATGCCATGGGAGATTAATAATTTGATGTAAGCATGTTCTCTCCTTTGTGCTATAGGATGATTAAAAACCCTGATTTGCTTCTCTTCACAGCCCCTTTGGCAGTCAGATTGAAGAGCCTTCTGTCCTTGAGTCCTCCCTGACGTAGATCTGAGAGTGAGATGTGAACTGGACAGAATTAACAGTAATGTAACTATAGCATTTTTCCCCAGCTTTTTAGACAGACAGGTATTCAGTTTTAAAAAAAACTAAATGAGTATGATACAGGTGATGAGGAGCTCGCCTCACTCTTAAACAAGGATGCAAAGCTCTCATATCTGGGAGGTCTTGAGATATACATATTTTTGCATATAACATTAACATATTCTGGTGAACATGTAAAAGCCTTAACTCCAGCTGACAAAAAAAAAAAAAAAAAGAAGAAGTCAAAACCTTTCAAGCCTGCCTTACATTGCAAAAAAAGACAAAAAAAGAAGTTGTTCTTATATTAATATGAGACCTTTCCTCCAAAGTGGTCTATAAGTATGTACAATTGAATATGTTGAACCCATTAACGTCAGGACTGATTCTGGTACCAAAAGGAGCTACTCACATTTTAAATAACAGTCCAATCTTAGACTCTATTAGTAAATTTTTTCCATCTATAATGTCCCCCTCATATCATAATTTTATATAAACTGTAGCCCTTGGCAGATTCTGTCCAGTGTGGATATATAAATAGGAATCACTTCAGCCTGTACTTTGACACTCTGGGAAGAGGGAGAAGAAAAGAGAAGGTGCATAAATGTGAACAATAGTATTTTCTATATTGTCATGTAAGATATGAAAGAAAACCTAATTATTAGGGATACTAATAGGATAAGTTACTTTAATGACATCTGCATTAACAGCCTAAGAGAAATCACACCTAACTACTGTAATATACCCAGCAGACTGAAAAAGTAAGTTCTTCTTGTTCCTGTTCTTTGTGCTTGACTTTCTATAGAGAATCTGTTTGTTTTTATAGGAGGCTTTGTTCTGCAAGTCTGGTAGCAAAATGAGCCTAATTAGGTGAAGATACCTTAGGAAGAGAATGAAAGTTGTAGTCAGTAGACAAAATCGGAGCCAATGAGAATTTATGGGGTCATACACAATGGATTTTCTGTACAACAACTGAGTTCTTAAATATTTTCTCAAAAACTGCATTTATTTCATGGAATATCATCACTTTCACTTGTACCTGCCATAAATTTCTGTCAGTATTTCTCTCATTTGTAAAAAGGTACAGAAGCCACTTTAGTAATATAAAACTACTGCTCCACAATGTAGTTACTGTACTTCCCTTCCTAGGGCTGTTCTTTAAATCTCAGTCTGTCTCTTAGAGTGGCCACAGTTAAACTCTAGGACATTGAAAATATATAGCATAGCTTAAGTTAGTGAAATTTGAACATAGGTAGTTTGTTCCTTTATCTTGAAATTGCAAAGATGAAAATTGTTCTGTTAGTAAAGTAAATTTTATGTGCTACCCTGAGAATAAACAATCTTTGTACCGGTCTTTCTCAATGTTTCTTCACTAGGAAGAGTTTGGAATTCCTAGGGTTTTCTGTGTATCCTAGATAGTTGGCTACAAAAATTGGTTGTTTATATCCTGGAACATTGTATTGATGCCTGATTCTTTTTGGAGAACTTGGCGTCCTCTTCTCCAGATGAACTTTATATCAGTAACAGTCACCATATGACAACCATTCTTCATAAAACCAATCAACTAAATATGCTAGACATTTCTATGCTTTAACTTAAAAATACACACACACGTATATATATATATATATATATATATATATATACGTGTGTGTGTATATAGGTATATATGTGTGTGTACATATATACATGTGTATATATTCTTGGCTGTAGGTAAGAGAAAAACAGAGCTGAAGGACACAAGGAACACAACTGGAGTTTTCAACTTTGCTAAATCTTTGCTAAAAGATTATGTAACTCACAGGTAAATGTGCATGGTGTCCTTGGTTTTATGACTGAATCAGTAAGCAAAATTTAAAGTAGTGGTTGAACTACTTCAGTATCTATGTGGATTATTAATGCTCACATCTTAGAGAAAACTTGAGCTATGCATTCTTATCACCAAGAAATCAGTGTCAAAATTCCCTTACATTTTACATCCTTTACCTTAAATAATAATATAAACTATATTGTGCTATATGTGTAATGTACATTATAGTAATGGGTCTGCAGTAGTCAGAAATGAGTTATAAAGACAGGAGAAGCAGCCTGGGTTTTATATTAGTGATGCTATATTAATTATGACAGAGAAGGCTTTTCCATTATAAGCCTCATTTTTAAGATGCTTGAAGCTTTCCCACAGGAATTTTTCTCATGACAGTTTTTTTTTCTTCTTTTGCCTAGTAATGAAAATAAGGATATTGGTTTTTAATGTTTTTGGGAGATTTTCTCTGAGAATAAAAGTTTTTTTCTGTCCATTAGACCATTTTTTTAGGTACTTTGCTTTCTGAAATCTCAAAACAAATAGCTTTTTAATGACCTTTTCAAACTTGTCTCCAATGAAGAGGTTTCGTACCTTTGGTGTATTAGGCAAAGCTTGATTTGCAAATAATTAAATTACAAGTATTATCCAATACTTCTTCTGCAAATTGTTGTGTCTCCAAATAGCAGTTAGCTACTGTACCTTGCAAATAAGGAGAACTTACAATTACTTGGTCAGTTACTAAAAATTAGCCACTCCTGGATTATGACTGTTATGCGTACAGTTTCTGTGCATACCAAAAAAGAAACCAGAGCTGAAAGTAGTCATTGTACTCTGATGTGGTACATCAGAATACAAGTGAACTTTCCTAACAAAGGAGAGAGCAGTAGCAGGCTGAAACTGTGGCCTGTATGATCTATTGTTATTTAAAATCTCACTAAGATAGAATCACCTCATTCTCTGAGCTCAACAGATTGAGATCCACTCAGGAGACACACAGTTGAGATCCAAAACAGGAAAGGCCTTCACTGCTCATTAAAATGTTAATTACGCCATTGAGGGTTCAGCGCTGCCCTTCAAGAAATTTCAAACCACTTCCCTTATTAACATATTAAGAAGTAATAGTTCAAAGGAGTAACAGCATGATAGGAAGATAGAGTATATATTTATTTAAATACATGGCAATGCATATTTCTCAAGCTTTTTGAGAAATGGAATGATGCATTCTTCCCCTTTATCACTAAATCACTATCTACACCCCTTTATCACTAAATCACTATCCACACTCCTACAATTTCTGATTGGGTTGTAGGTTTCAGATTTCTTAATTGGGGTTGTCGGTGGACAAGCTGTATATTTGTCTCCACACCACACTTGAGCAAAGGGACTATGTTTATCTTCTAATCTATGCAATCCCAGTGTGCAGTACTGTCCATAGCACAAAAGAGGGACTAAAACATTTATATAAATTTTCAAATGTATGAGGTTAAAGCAAAATTTCCTATTCTTTAAATTATGATAGTCATTATTTTAGGCTGTCTAAATCAGCATCAAAAAAGCCTTAATTTTATCTACCCATACGTTCATAAAAGAATATTGCCCTTTCAGATCTTTTATTGGAATTTAAATATCAACTTGCACTGTATTTAGGAAATGCCATACTACAAAATTCATTTAAAGACACTCCTTCCTCTTTGTTTTCCTTTCAGCATGTGCTATTATTGAGGAAGTAAGCACAGACTTATATTGCTTTTCCACTGCTACTCTCTGGTGTAGTTGCCATGCAGCTAAAACAGTGAGTAGTCTGGCAAATGACTGGCTGGCCAGGTGGGTGATACAGGGTGTTCTGGAACCTTAGGACAGTGCTTCTTCTGTGAACGCTTGTCAACTGAAGCAGCTACTCTTCCCTCATTTACCTAACATCTTATTGTTTTATAGGCAGTGTGTAATTCATGGCCTCTTACAAAAGAGGTCCTTCTTCATATTTCCCCAAAGCCAGAAGTTTATAGAAATTACTAGTTTTGTGGAATTTCGTATATGGTTCTTTTTAACTATACTTCTCAGGGCACTTATTTTAAATACTCATAATTTTGAAAGAAGGTGTTCTTCTGAGTGGAAGGTTTCCACTGATAATTTCTTGGTAATGGTAGTGTTTAGAAGATAGGAAGATTACATTCTTTGCATTTCATGCCAGAATATATGAATTCTTCCCTTCGGTAGCATATAATTTTTCTGTTCATATTTTACTGGCCACCCATGACTTAATATGTGGTTTAGCTGATCCCAAAAGATTTGGTTATCCAGAGTTCCATTTAAACTTCTTAAAATCTTAACAGTAAGAAAAAAAGAAATTCATGGTGAAAATCAATTCATTAAATTTCTTTATTTCTTCATGAAATACATTAATTATTTTATTTCTCTTAAATTTGAGTCTTCCAAATCTGGGCTCAGGTATTCTCCTCTCAAACCTGGAAATGTTATGGTGCCAACATAAGAGGGATAATCCTTGATGGATAATCTTGTTCATGTCACTTAACCCCTCTGACATGGCTTTCTTGTCAAAAATAATTGTACATGTGATCATCGTGATAATATGTTGTATTTATATAGAACTTTCAATTTGTAGAGAAATTATTTTTGTCCCTACTAATAATGCCTTGTCCATACAACCACTAAATAAATAATTGTCCGGGATATTCATTATCTTGACTTTTATCAACACGATATTCCTATAAAGTGGATAGAGCATGCAACTGGCTAATTTTATAAATGAGCACACTGGATCCCAGGTTAGGCTGGTGATGTCCTGATGACAGTACTCTGGTTGTGTAGAAGCCAAGTTTCTTATTATCACATCTGGAATTTAAAAGTAAAATTCAACTTAAAGATTATATGCAGGACAAAGATGTTTATTTCATAGATCATATAGATCATGTAAAAAGGTAGAAAAATGGCAAGCTTTTTGAAACTGATCACAAATAAATCTAAAGTAATTTCAATTAGAGGAAAAAACATTGAAAAGAAAATATTATCTAATATTTATTGAAGCCATTATTTCAAATTTTGATTTGGTGAATGTACTTATTTCTATTATTGAGTAGGTACAAAACATTTTCAGCTGGCTTTTATTGAACGAGCTTTTTCACTTTGAACACTGCAATGCTGAAATATTGATTTTTAAAAAAAGAATTCAATAGTTTCAAATGAGTGATATTGGGATTGTTGCAAAATTAATATTAGTTTAGTATATATATGATTATGAACCACTTAGTTTAAGGTGAACAGATTATTTTCCTAGTTTACATTTTAATTGAATGCAGTTTTTCATATTTCTTTATTTCATTTAAAAGTGCTTACATATAGTAATATTTCGTGCAGCCACTCCACCCATCTCTATTTTCTCTCTACTACTAATATTTGAGTTCCCAACTTGCACATAGTACACTAAGGAAGTTAAAAAAGAAACATTGCTCTAATACTGAGGACTCCCATTTTCAAAATTATAAGAATATCGTTTCACTCAAATAGCTGTTTATATAAATGTCCAGTGAACCCTTATTTTTGCATTTTGTATGTAGGCAATGATGAATCATAATTTTGAAGTATGATTAACTCAAGAGTTAAAATTTCTGTTTTTTGAAACTAAAGACTCTGATATCAAAATCACATATTCCTGGCCCCATCCCAGAACTAATGAAGCAGAGTTTTTAGTGAATTAAGCTTAACCCTTAATTGATATCTCAGTTTGATGTCTCAACAGTTATTTTTAAGCACTATCCTTCCATTTTGGGGTAGCCTTGCAGGAATGTGCTCAGATTTTTAACTTAGAAAGCAAGCTGACCCATGATCCCATGCCAAAAGCATGACTCAGTCAGGTATAGCCAAGCCACACCATAATTATAATTTCAAAAGTAAAGAAAGGAGAAAAAGGTGTAAAATATAAATAGCTGTCTGTGTTAGTTTGGTATTATTTTACATAATTTTTTTGAATCTCTCTCTCTCTCTTTTTTTTTTTTTTTTTTTTTTGGCAGAGTCTCACTTTGTCACTCAGGGGCTGGTATGCAGTGGCATGATCTCAGCTCACTGCACCCTTGACCTCCTGGATTCAAGCGATCTTTCTACATTAACCTCAAAAGTAGTTGGGAGTACAGGCAGGCACCACCATGCCCAGCTAATTTTTGTATTTTTAGTACAGTCAGGATTTCACTATGTTGCTCAGGCTGGTCTCGAACTCCTTGCCTCAAGTAATCTGTCCACCATAGCCTCCCAAAGTGTTAGGATTACAGGTGTGAGCCATTGCACTTGGCCTTTTTCTTTTGAATCTCAAAAGAATTTTTTTTTTCAGATTGCAGAAGTAATATAGTTACACTGGAAAAATGGAGAAGTATAAAAATATAACAGAGCAAACAATAATACCTATAATTTGTCACCCTGAGATAATTACTCTTAATTATTTTTTCAATATATATTTCATGTTTTTTCATGTGTATTTTTCTAAATGTATCATATTTGAGATTAATCATTTTTAAAAGGTTTGTGAAGTAAAAGCCATTAGAGTCAGGAAGTGAGCTAGTTGATATTAAATTGGTGAGATCTTGGATGCACTATGTTATAAATTTTACAATGGTCCGGTCAAATCTCTGGAGTGGCTTTTTGTCCAGATCACTTGAAAACTAGTGTAGAAAGTAACATATGTTTAAATGTGCTCTATTTTAGTTAAATAATTCTGCTTTTTCAAGGTTGTGCATCTCAACTGTTGCAAATTATATTAGGCGAAAAATTGGTTCCTAGCCCAGACCAACAGTTTTTTTGAGGAAAAAATATACAAACAGAATGAATTATTTTATGGCTTTTAGATTAACAAATGATCAATGTTCGAGGCATTTTAAAGTATTTTGAAAAGAAATGAGAGAAAAAATAATTTAGGATCTTCCCCTACCTACACCCAAGAACAACCTTGGAAATCTTTTTTAATCTAGTTACATACAGAACTAAAATGTATTTTGATGTTTTATTAAACACATCACATATAATTGATCCATGAACTAATGTATATAGCAGTACTCTTCTTCAGTTTTATTCAAATTTCCATTTCTATTCCCTCAAATTGTCTGTTTTTTAAAATGTCTGCCGTTTTTTAATGGCTGAAGCAAATGTTTTGAAATTTTCTGAGAAAAAAATACTTAAAATTACATAAATTAAACTTTATTCTTGGATTTTCTTCCATCTCATTGAGAGCAATAATGATTTTCCCCTTGCAATTTCAATAGAAGATACTTTCTGTCTTTCCTTCCTTTTAATATTAACACTCTCATCATTATTCTGAATCAAATTATAAGATTATTTTCTCATCATCACTACATCCTGTCATGATCTCTGTCTCCTGGACTGTTTTGATCTGCATTGTAACCTGTTGGGAGATTGATCCCCACCTCAAAGTAAAAGCATACTTGACAAAAATATAATTTTTTGTGCTATCTGACTTGCATTCAGTCTTTTGACTTTTGTTGATAAACTCTTTGATATCACAAGATTTCTTTTTTTAACTTCTAGCAATCTAATTTATATCTGACCCCTCTGCTAAAATTATTCTTCCTAAGGCTCTTAATGGCTCAATGGCCTCCTCCATGCCCACCATGACCATCTCAAGCTTCATATTTTTATTTTCTTATTTGACCTTTGATCAATCACTTTTTAGTGAAATTCTCTCCACTTATTTTCTGTGAGATATTAATTACTAGTTTTCTTTCACCATTTCTGAGTACTCTTCCTGTATGTTCCTAACTTTGGCTGTGCTCTCTCACTGTGTCTAGTCCTCACTGAGAGAACAGGGTAAAGGGAATCTGCTCTGGAGTCATACTTGAGCTCAATTCCTGGCACAACCCTTTACCAGGTAGATGTCCTTAGGAAAGTCACAACCTGTGGGCTCCATTTATTTATTTTAAACATAAAATAGCACCACCAAAGATAGGCAGTCCAGGGCTTGCATGGCTATATTACAGAAATTGAGATATCCAGGCAACTTTTGCCTCTAGGCTGTTTCATCTGTAAGGTCCTCAAGATCCTGGATGGATGTGGGAGCTTAATTTATCTCCATTTTCCTATAGAGGAAATAACAATAATATTTACCTTGGTATTTAGTGTAAGAAATTTTTTAAAGTGTGTTATTCACCACAACACCTAACACTGACTGGACCCTGAATAAATGTTAGCTATTTTCACTAGTGTGATGATGATTTGCCTGTTGACTAATTAATGATGGCAGGTAGCATATTTTAACCGTTAATTATTAATAAATCATGCTGTAAAGATACTTATACATATTTATAACCCAGTAGATTGGCTTCCTTAATGTTATTTCTTACCATACTCCTTTCTACTCTCACTATTTCCAATTTAAAACAACAACAAAAAAAGATGTTACTGGCAATAAAACTGGTGCTACCATTCTTGTAAATAATGTTCATGACCTCAAGAGTGACATATTCTTGGTTTTAATGTGTATTTTATGACACAAAAGCAGTGACACTACACCTGTGAGATAATTTCCAGTGAAGCTCTCGAGCTCTGAAAAGTGGCCAAGTAGAAATCTAATATGTCTACACAATAACCTAGCACAGCACCTGCATCATATTTAATGATGAATAAATATTTGTTGAATAAATGAATGAATGAATGATGTAGGAAACTCCAACTATATCAAATCAAAATCTTTAACAGCTATTTATTCAACCAATATTTATTAAGCACCTACTATGTGTCAAGCAGTATGTTAGAATCAGGTAATACCAAAGTGAACATAACAATATACCTGTCCTCATGATATGTACATTCTAGTGAGCAAAGATGGGCAAAAATCAAATGGGAAAGTATATAATACATCAGCTGTGATAGGTGCAATGGGCAACAACAGATCAGAGTAAGGGCAAAGGGCACTTTGGAAAGTGCTTGTATTGTGTATCAGCTATTTTATAACAAGTCACCTCGAATTTTAGTGGCTTAAAACAACAACCATTATTATTTGATTTAAATGTTATGGCGTAGCTATTAGGTTGAGCTCAGCCAGTTAGTTTCATCTGGTATAATTAAAGAGGCTGCCATCTGGAAGCTTAACTTGGGGCTGGTTAATTGCGTATAACCTCACTAACATGTCTAGTGGCTGGTGCCAGTCTCTCATCCTCAGTAGGGCTAGCCTGAGCTACCTCACATAATAAAGCACTTCAAGATGATAAGAGTGGACACCATTAAGACCTCTTGAGGCTTAGGCTAACAAGTCACACATCATTTCCACTGCCTTCTTTTGATCAATTCAAGTCACCATACATATATCCAGATTCAGAGGAGGAGGTAATAGACTCCGTCTCTTGATGGGAAGTGTTAAATATAATTTGTAGCCATTTTTTACCTACTACAGATGGGAAGTTACTGATGGATAGTCAGTGATAACATCTCTGATAGGATGACATAAAAGCAGAAGCCTACATAATGTGAGGAAACAGGTAATGTGAATATTTTTGAAGAGTGCATTCTGGGCCAAGGGAATAGCTAGCACAAAATGCCAAGAAAGGCCAATAAGGAGCTCAGAGCAGTTGGGAGTGGTGGGCGAATATATGTGTGTTAGGAGATGAATGTGGGAAGCCAATGAGAGACCAGATAGTATAATTCCTTGTAGACCATTGTAAGGACCATTATAAGTAGACCTTTGTCTTTTACTCTGAGTGAGATCAGAAAAACCATTGATAGTTTTCAAAGGAGTGACATGATTTTTAGTGGAGTTTACATAATTGTCGACAGGATCTCTCTGGATTTTTATTGAAGTTAAACTTGAGGGTAAATGGCGAGAAACACAATGAAGAGATTATCCCAGGCAAGAGATGATGGTGGCTTGAAATAGAAGGGTAGGACTGACAACATTTTCTGGGATAATTTGTAGAACTGATTAGGCAGAAAACATATTATTAGATTGTGTATAGTCATCTGTCAGCTTCTCTAAGAAACTAACTACATTTTGTTCATGTGTCTTCTACTTCATCTGGTATTTGAAAAGCACCCACTAAATACATATTGACTGGTTAGTAAAGATTCAAGCCTCACTGTTGAATTGAACATAATCACCACAGGATGCTGAAATCCTACAGAGTTCATCATTAAATGATGTTTGAAGACTGTAGCAAGTAGAAGACCCTATTAAGAGCTATTGATACTCTTCAGATTACATGTCTGCTATATGCTAAAGGACTGCAAATGAATTACGACAAAAACAATCTGTCTAGATCAAACTCAGTATTAAAAGTTATCCATTAAAAGGTAAAAGATCATTACATGGGCCGGGTGTGGTGGCTCACACCTGTAATCCCAGCACTTTGGGAGGCCAAGGCAGGTGGATCACCTGAGGTCAGGAGTTTGATACCAGGCTGGACAACATGGTGAAACCCTGTCTCTACTAAAAATACAAAAAATGAGCCGGGTGCAGTGGCATGTGCCTGTAATCCCAGCTACTCGGGAGGCTGAGGCAGGAGAATTGCTTGAACCCAGGAGGCGGAGGTTGCAGTGAGTCGAGATTGCACCACTGCATTCCAGCCTGGACAACAGAGCAAGACTCCATCTCAAAGAAAAAAGAAAAAATCATTACATGAGCTGAACATTTATTATTAAGACTAGTAAGTGAGAAACAGTGTCAGGGATTCAAAGTCGACATAATATAGTTCTCAAAAGCACTAGTATTCTCATATGGCATGTAGAGTGTTAATTTTATAAATGAAAGAAAGCAAGGTGAACGTATCAACTAATATTATGATGTTGAATGGAAAGCATTAACAGGTATAGAGGAGCATGGGGGAAGATCTAAGTTTAGAGAATTCCTGGAACTAGCTAATTTTTAGATAACAAATTAGAACCTTGTTGTTATGGTATGAAGAAACTGCTGTTAACTCCAGGCCCAACATAGTGGATGACAACTGTCCTTTCTGGTGATGGGAAAGTACCTGCTTCTAAATCTTATCCAAGTGAATGAAGTGCATATATATGTTTTATGTTGGTGTTACTCTTTTTATCATAAAATATGTGTTTACAATATTAGATCTTTAAATCTTCTTATAATTTCATAGGACATGTTCAGTACATTCTGTTTTAAAACAGATTACAATAAAAGTTTAGCATTAAAATTCACCTGGAAATGAAAAACCCAGCTTTGCTTCTCACTCTGTGACTTAAAACAAGTTTCTAAATTCACTAAACTTCACTTTCTTTATCTATAAAACTAAGTGTTTGGAAAAGATCAGTGGTTCTCAACCCTGACTGCACACTAAAATCATCTGAAGGACATTTGAAAAAGTAATATCCCAAGTCCTATCATAGGGTTTAATTTTCAATGCTCTTCAGGTAATTTTAATGTACATTCAGTGTTGAAAATCAATGGGCTAGATGATCACTAAAGTTACTTCTAGTAAAACTTCCTGATTTTATGATTCATTGTATTTTGACATAGTAACAGCTGCTGAAAAAACAATGTTCTCAATATTTGCAATGTCTTTTAAAGTAGAAATTAACGTCGAAGAGTGTTCTTGCTCAAAATTGAGAACATTTTCACATCTAGACTAAAAATCCTTCTATATTATGAGAATAATTTATACCAAAAGCCATATATACATCATCATTTGGGTAAGGCATATGCACCAAAAGTAATATAGATTTGCCTAAATTTTAGAAATTAACTATTATTATGATTTGGAAAGCAATTACTTTCTGTCAGTACACATACAATGTGAGGGTAGTGTAGTTAGAAATTCTGTGTAAATTTAAAAAAATGCTGCTACAGCTATTTTGATTTTGAATAAATGTATTCCTAATATCCCAAGAGTTAATAAAATTCCTAAAGTGTATAACTTATTCATAATAAATAATTTACATGCTGATTTATTATGAAGAGAATAAACAGTTTTATAGAAGACTGAAGTAGAATATCTAGTTTTATTGGTATTTGGAAAGATCAAAAGTATGATTTCTTGAAACAGTTTTGAAATGTGTCACTATGAATTTTTGCTATCAGTCTTTTTACTAAATAGCTTTTCATTGGAGTAAGCTGATAACTTTTCTCTTTAATTTTAAATGCCAGAAAATATAAACACATGTTTTAAAACTTCATGAAACCAAAAACTCAACCAAATACTCAGATCCAAAAAGAAACCATGTAGACTCCTAGGAAACCGGGGAAAGGCATCAAGTAAATATTAAGCTAGAAAGTAATAGACTTTGTGTCTTATATTTTCACATCATTCTGTGTTTTTGAATATGTACTTTTGAATACTTGGGACAGGAAGGCTCCTTCTGTTAGCCAGGCTAATATGGAGAAGAAGAAGAGGTACAGTTTACAGCTAACAGCTAACATGGGTGAATGTAGGTGTAGTCAACAAAGAATGGGTTGTATGGAATTTCTGCAAACATAGTTACATTTGAAAACCATTTGGGAAAAAAATGACTTAATGCCCAGATAGGACACTATGAAAAGTAAATATGTTATTTTCAGTATGATGTACATGCCTGCATCATCATTCTGTTTTTGCTTCTGATATCATCAGTTATTCTTATATCTTTAATTTTCATGTATATTTCACTGTTTTTGTTTACCCTATCGATAACAAACTAGACGCCATAATTAAGAATAATGCACAGATATACATTTATTATAGCATGCAAAACTGTGACATTGGAAGAATAATGTGACTGCTGGAATACTTCACATGTTCAGAAATCTTGCCCTGTGTAGAATGGAGAAGTTGTTTTGCTTCACATTTGCTCTGCCACATATCAATTTGCTTTACAAGGCCTCCCTGAAATCAATCAGACATGTGTACCATGCTTTCAAAGAATTTTTTACAGTAGGAATAAGCTATGAAAAGTTTGAAAATACAGACTACACATACTATATAGTTTGTAATAATAGTTATATGTATGCTAGTGAGTTAAAAAAAACTCTCATGAGTTTTATATGATTTAAAAGTACCAAGAGGTTTAATGAAACAATATAAATTTTATCATCAGAATGATATCACACATCTTACTTATCTCTTGGGAGTGATGAAATGCAGAACTTGGTGGTTACCCACCCCCCTCCTCACCTCTCAAGGTTTTCTCTCCTACTTACCTGCTCCAGATTCTGCTCTTCTTGTAGCAGATGCAGTATTGTGTTTTATATATCTTCTTTTAAATTTGGTAAAGCACATTAAGCTGTACTCACTCACTCAGATGCTATTGTATGTTAGTTTAATCAGATAAAGTCAGTGAGGGGAATATAGTTCTAAAGAATGATAAGGACAGAGGTGATGTAGCCTAGAGAAAGTGTGCATGAAAAGGGCCCCAGTGAGAGTAGAAGCATTTCATGCTTGGAGTGAGTGAAGGACTAAAACATGAACATCGGCGTTACTTACTTCCCAGTTTTGCCTGGGGCTCGGCCAGGTCAGCAATGCAATCATTGCACAAAGTAAAGTAAATGGACTCACATTTCTAAACATGTCATATAAAATTTACATGATCTTCAGAATCTAGCAACATGATATTGAATATAGACTTCATATGTAACAGTCAAAGTTTGTTGATGCTAACATCATCTTGAGTAATGAAGTCTGATTACATGGATATAAGTATATAACTTTGTCTCATAAGAGACTTTATTTACATAAAGATTTTTCTTGTTAAGATATTGAATTGATTTATTGGGCATAGCTGCATAACTGAAAAGTGTAAGTACTGGACTCCACTTGAAAGCATATGTACTGCATTAAAGTAAAGCTGCCATCCAGTATGAATAATGCAGATGTTATGTTTTAAAGCATGTCAGATTCTCTTAAGTGTATCTTTCTTCTTTAAATTTTGATCAGCTGAGATAAATGCTTTTCATTTGGCCTTAACTGTTTGTCACAGGAAGATAAGAGACAGAGAGCTAATGAAGTAAATTGATGTGCTGCTACAGTTAGGGAGAATTGGAGTTTAATACTGTTGCAGTTGATAATATAACTGCTTTTTTAAAAAATTGGCATGGTTGCATGACATTATGAGAAAGAAAAGAGACCTAACACATTCAAAAATGGCCAATACTTAGAAGTATTGGGGTAAAGTTAGGTAGAATTTTTATCTAACTCTCTTCGAATACAGTGCATTTTCTTCTTCAAAAAAGTTGTAATTAAGAGTATATTAAGTCATAAATATTAATGATATCAAATCATGAATATTAAAAATATATTGCTGGTAGATACCAAAAAAGGATGGTGTGAATTATATTCTGTAGCTCAACTTGGAAGTTCAACTGTCACAAAGAAACCTGTCTCATTGAAATCTCTCTGAAATTGCATGCATATTTAACCCAATAGCTTCAGGCATTCAGAGATGGAGGAAGCAAAATCAAAAGCACCATATCAAAATTAACATCAAGCCATGTGTTTTTCTCTTAGAGTTTTGAAGTAATTTTTAACACAGATAGTAACTTGGTTTGAAATTTAAACACACACACATACAGGTTTGCTAGCTGGATAATTTCCATGCCTGGGGGAGGGGAGGTGACAATTGGTGCATTCAGTACAGAACACGTGTAATGATAATAAAGTTGATTGGTTGAGCTCTATAGCATTTTTTTTTTTTCTTTTTCTCTCTTCCTGTAGTGTAGTTCTGCTGGGGGTGGAAGGGTTCTCCCCCATCCCCCCCACCACGAACAAGACGTAGGTTGATACCATTTTTATTGTTCTGCTGGGGTGGGAAATAAACCATATGCTTTAGCATTTTAAATGGCTACACCAAAGAGAAAATTGAACCAGGCTCTCTTCCCTACTCCTACTGGACTTTGGGGTGGGGTTATTCCTCTGAATGTTCTAGCGGACTTGGGGTTAGCTTAATGCTTCTGCCCCAGGGCAAAGAAGCAGTTGAGGGAAAGAAATGTCAAGGACGTCAGAGGCGAGCTGGACTGAGTGAAGTGTGGAGTAGGAAGCTTAGGTCTGAAACCCACCCCTCCCCTGGATACCAGGCAAAGGCAATGAGAGTCGGAACCAGCTGATGCCGCTGCTGCTGCTTCCCGTTTCCAGGGTGAAATTTTCACAGCAGCTATTCTAAAAGGAGGAAAAATCCCTAACCAGCAGCAGAGAAGATCCTATCACCCAATCCAAGCTATGTAACCTTTTAGTCAGGCTTTTCAAAGAAATCCGCATTTTAAAAGCCAGCATTTATGGTCCAAAATATGGGACGGGAATCAGAGCTGGTAGAAAAATATGAAAAGCCTCTTTACACCCTGAGTATTTGAAACAATCCGATGAGCATAGGAAGTGGCTGCCAACGCTCTGGCGGCTGCTCGTGCTGCCGCCGCTGCCGCTGCTGTTCCTCGCATAGGGCTGGACAGAGCTAGTCCCGGTTTCAGCACCTCCGGCGCTGGACAGCTCTCTGCACGCCGCACCGCCGCCTGCTTGCTTTTTCCCACTCTCGCTTTGCATTACTGGAGATGCATCTAAATTACATCCTGTTCAACAACAAGTAGATTTTTTTTTCCTGTACAGGAATTACAGTAGACGACTCTCTCAATTAAACTGCATTTTCTTCTTTACGGATTTGGCTATCAGGCGTATTTATCCCGATTTCCTCCCCCCTCACTCCCCTTTGCAGGAACGAGTCTTTGGGAACGTGGTCCACCCAGGGATGTAAAACTGTGCTTACCGATGCATCCCATACGAAATGCTTATGTGATCGTCTCTCTACCTTCGCCATTTTGGCTCAGCAACCTAGAGAAATAGTAAGTAACAAAGGGAAAACACGGCTTTAACGCAAAGACAGGGATATTGTGGCTAGTGTTTCTCCAGGGAACTGCATTTTAAATGGGGAAATGGAAAATGTTGCAGGGTACAAAATTGGGTTCGTCTCCTCCTTAGCTATAGTAGCTTGGTGGAATGAATTCTAGTTGGTATTCTATAACTAAATTCTACTCAATTTTATGTCTTCTAACTTGAAATTTCTGCAGTGTAGTTTCAAGGATGAAGTCCAATCATGTCACTAATATGCTGCAAACTTTCAAATAAAAATAATTGTCAACTTAACCTTTATTTTAAAGCTGGAAAGATATTCTGGGGAATTTTAGAGGGTATTGTTAGTAGTAGAATGAAGACCCCAGACACTATAGTGAAACACATTGCATATCTGCATTGGATATTTTCAGTACAGGTTTTCTGGAAGTGTCCTTGGATGTAAATATAAATAAATAAATATATATGTTAATCAAATGAAGTTTTTGTGAAAGCATGGCTGTCAGGAACTGTAAAATTATTCCTTAATAGTATATAGTTTTTCAAAAATAGTTTCTGAAAGAGACAGCTGTACATAACTGTCTGAAAGAAAAATAATATTCTCATCAATTGTATTTTGAGGAAATATAACTCAGAATGAATGCTGAACAATTATTATTCAGGTAAATGTGATATTCTGCCTACATTTGGCCTAAATAAGCATCACTCTTCTTACTAATTTTGATGACAAAAAACTAATACAATTTGATGTGCATATTTGAGGTTTTAGAACACGCTTAAAGTGTATTCCTTCAAACTCTCAATGTTAACAATGTGAAAACCAACAAATTTAATTAATTAACGTCATGTAAGTGTCCAAGGAAAGAAACCTTCCAGATCAGTGAATGCATGTAATCTTTACATATGTTTTAAAAGACAGAAAGCTTATTTTTCAAGGTCATGCATTTAGGGACTGATACTGGCATTGTCATAATTATCTCCACATATTTTGTTCATTGAAAAAAAATCACAAAATATACTTGAAGGTTTTAAATTTGACGTTTGATTTTCTTCTGTATCCTCAGAAGCCAAGCAAGTACAATTAAATGTGAGAATACTTGACTTAGAATAAAGTTGTCAAAAAGTCAGAAAGTTTGAAAAATCTTCAATATCTATATACCAGATATAGGTAACATAATGAGTTGTAAATAGTAGCATCTAGATAAATTTTACCAAGAATCATATTGTGAAATGACTAACCTGCAGTTAGTTAAAGAAAAATGAGTGATGCTTTAAATTTTAGGTAGAGAAAATTTAACATGTGAATGTTGACCAAGTTGTAGTTTTAAGGTCTTGATTTTCGAAAGTTATAAGGATGTAATATTCCATAGCCCACCATTTAAAACTCTAATGACTTTATTACTTCACAGTGGGAGAGAGGGGGAAGCTGCAATTAGTATTTTTAGAGGTTGAGAATGCAAGAACAGAGTGGATTCATGGGTAACTATCTGGTAACTATAACAACTATATAGGCTATTTTTGAGTGATAGGTTAGCTTTGCTGAGTCTAGAAGTTATTTTAATTTATTAAAAACCAATTTGTTTCTTTTTTGTTTTGTTTAATTCACAGATCATGGAATCCTCTGGCACACCTTCAGTTACCCTAATAGTAGGCAGTGGTCTTTCTTGCTTGGCCTTGATTACCCTAGCAGTTGTCTATGCAGCATTATGGAGGTAAGTAATCAATTGATAGACCTGAAATGCAATGCTTAGTTGTTCATAGTTAAATCAAGGAATGTGATAATTATTAAATGTCTCCTGTCTTCTTAATTTACTGAAAGCAGTATTTTTACAACAGAGTTATAATTGGTGTGATTGAGCTTTAATAAATGAATTATGTTTACCTAATTTTCCTGTATATTTGCCTGAGTTAAGAAAATAAACAGTACACACATAAACTTTTATTCTCATTTCAAATGTTAGTAGCCTTCAACAAGTTGCTTACCCCAAGCATAGTACTCTTACACCACAAGTTCAATCTATTTGTGGTTTCTATTTATCCCAATTGCTATGGAGGCTGTGAGTCTAACTGGTACAGTCAAATTAATTTATCTGTTATAAAAATATGATCTCAAGTACTTAAGTTTCAAACACATGCTTTCAGTATGTCCCAGACAACTAGTGAACCCTTCTATGCTATTGAAGCACTAACATAATACCAATATATTCCAGAAAATGCCTGTTGGTTGAGTGTGTCCAAGAAGTCAGACTTTGACAAATTGATTAAAAGAAGTCATAAAAATACATAAACAAGGGGAAGTTATTGAAAAATTTTTTTCTACAATAGTTGAAATCACATCTACTGATATATGAAAGCCTAGTATTTTTTAAGACTTGTTTTTGATTGTGTTACTAAGAATTAGACCTGTGAAGTTTATCGTCTACTCACATATTGATAAAATATATAGACATATGGCCAAAGTACTGGATTTTTCTAGTGGATTTTTAAATTTTTAAATGTTAAACATTTTTATATCCACTTTTATTATTGAAAAATAATCTAAATATTTTTAACTATATTAGTATATAGAAAATTACCTAATATTTTCAGAATGTTTGTAATATTAGAATTGCAAAAGTAGATATTTCTGCCTCAGAAATCTTAATCTTTATTCACTTAAGATAAAAAACATTCAGTTGAAAAATGAATTACAATTTTATTTAAAAAGACCATTTTACTTTGTTCTTTTAAGAAAATGTATTGTTCTTCATTATAATTTTTACTCTTTTGAGAGCAAGAATTAATTGTCACATATTTAAATTGTCAAAGTTATGAAGAGTTTTTATGCTTCATACAAAAGTAAAAATTATGTATCTCTTGACCCATTAGCACTGGTACATGACAGAAATCCTTCCTTCCGGTGAAGGAATTATCTAGTAGTGAGAGACACTGACAAAGTGGGACAATCTGATAAAATATGTCCAGCTCTAGGAAATGAAATAAATGCTTAGTTTAAACATGACATTGTAGGCAGCAGAATCTTGGGTTCAGGGCTCACTCAAGCAGACATTGTCTCAGTAATGCAAAAGCAAGAAGGATAAACATTTGAAAAGTAGACAACTTCCTCTACCACAATTGTTTAAATAACAGTTGTTCAAAAATTAGGCAGCATTTAAAGACTAGGAATTTGGTAATCACAATAGTAACATAATTCATGCTCACTGAAGTATTTAAAACTAAATTCCTTTTATCAGCATTTAGGGTTCAGGCACCAATTCCACCTTCTCTTTATCCCTCAATACATATCACTAACACTAGCATATACATTGTCAGGATAGGTGATGTGTACATTTAATCAAGGAAACATACAATTAATTAGTCCATAATAAAGTTTTCTTTAATGCAGAAAGTTCAAGAAAGTCACTACTACAATAGTTTTCTAAGAATTACCAAAACAATTCAAAGGATCTGTTAACACTTGAGATGAACTTGAGAATTACAGAAGAGAGTACCAAGAAACAACACAAATCTAAATCCCTAAAAGTTAGTGGTCATCAACTCATTCTCTACAAATAGAATTGAAATAATATTCATAGTTTGAAAGAAGTGACAAGACTCCATGAATTATTAAGTGAATCTTGATAACATGATGAATTAAATGCAGTTTATAAGCGCCTACAGAAACACCAATAGAAACTTCGAGAACTGAAATTTAAAGCCCCACACAATTGTGAAGTATTATCCTTGCTTACTAGAAGGATGCCATTATACATGTAGGGTATATATTGTGTACTGTATAATATTACTGTATGCTAATAAGCATGTTAGGTTCCTACCACCTTTTATTCTCAGTAAAAAGTTTAGAAATTTTGATTTCTAAGGAGTTGTAATGTGTACAAGCATCTCAAGTATTTTATACATAATAGGCTGTTTTTAAATTTGGTGGCGTTGCATGTAGTTCATCAGAAATGTTCACCAAAAATTTAATACATTAGGTTATATTCTCTTCACCTATAGATAAGTTTGGCAGAGTTACATTTTTACATGAAAAAATAATGAAGCATGTCCTTGTCATCACTGTATTAACATAAAGCATTCTTAAATTTTGTTTAAAAAATCTAACATGGTAAAGAAATTTGTGAAAATTGAGACATTTCATAGCAATTATGAAGGCAACAATAGGGCTCAGTTTTGATAAAAATAGAAACATATAAAAACTTCAGCCTAGTCAATTCTGGATATTTCATTATCATATTTTTGTCTATTTACAGAACAAAAAGTTTCACTAAAACCCTTTTCATAATGTCATCTGTGTGTTTGTGCTTCCATGGAAGCCATTAACATCAAACAAAGGGTTAATTTTATGAAGCCCCTTAACTTTTTATATTATATTCCCCACCCACAAAAAAGAGACAATTAATAGTTGATGATGTCTTCAGCATCTCAGTGTGTGGTTTATTATATTGTTTGCCACTGATGATACAGGAACAAGGTTCAGCAACCCTGAGGCCATTTTGTGTTAAGATTTGATCTAAGTTAGTCCCATTTGAGTTTGTTTTGTGACCAAAGGGAATTTCTTTTTATATTACAAAAACTCCTTTGTGTATTTTATTGTTATTCTTACTTTTGTGTTCTTTTTGGAAATGTGTGATAAAACGTGGGGGTTCTACCTTGATTGTCCTCAAAGACAGGGAGAGAGAGAGACAGACAGACAGAGAGAAGTTTGACAGATTTTTACCTTCCAGAGTGCCTCCAGATCATTGGCACTCCTGTCTAATGCTGCATAGAAAAGCTCATGCCTGCTGTGGAATGTGATTCCACGTTATAATACAAATTGAATGGGCCTAAACACACAGCAAATACAACAGTGTCTTTTTGTTACTGTCACTCAGTGATTTACCACAGAATGCAGTGAAGCAAAATAGCTGTTACTCTTTCAGGGTAAACAGCTGGTAGAACATTTGATTCTGAGCAGTTTTCTCTATGGCTTACATTCTTGGTGCACTTAACAACTATATAACAGACTGTATATAAACACTTCTTCATAAGGGTAAAATATGGCAGATGTCAAGTGATTTTCCAGCCTAATAGTGAATTATCATTTGTGGATTGGATTTATTTTTAGAAATAAAGATTCATTTTTTTGAACAATTATTCAGGAAAAATATAAAGAGTAGCAGCCTAATTACATTCAAATGCTGGAGTGGATAAAAGTGTTCACAGTTTCATGAAAGTAATGGTATCCTTCTAGTAAATAACAATAATACTTCACAATTTGAGTTTTTTCTTTTTGGTTCTCAAAGTTTATATTGGTTGATTCATATGATAATGCTAAACATACATACACACATACACACACACGTATATAAAGGTATTATACTAATTGATATATTTCCAAGAAGCTTTATATGTTTAGTTAAAAAAAAGTGTATCATGACAACAGATGGGCAACTTAGGCTCTATCAGAAATGCCATACTGTCCCACCAATGTCTAAGAAAAAAAAATTCTAAAGGACGCTTGCACATGCCATACCACTGTAAAATTGGGTCTCTAAAAGTAATTTTTTATTTTAGAAACTATTTTTATATTTTTTATTTTTGTAAATATTCCTGTGCTACAGTACTTATTTTTCCAGATGAATGCCATCAGTTTGCACAATATATAATTCTTCATCTTTCTGTTGGATTTTAAAGTTGGGTAACTTTTCTCTCTCTGGCTAGGTACATACGCTCTGAGAGATCCATAATACTAATTAACTTCTGCCTGTCTATCATCTCATCCAATATCCTCATACTGGTTGGACAGACTCAGACACATAATAAGGTATGACTGGTAATTATTCTGATTCTTTTTTTGTGTTTATATTTTGGCATATTGTTAGTTATTGATAATCTAAACATTCATTCTAAAATGGAGAACTTCTGACAAAATTATATTTTAAAGCAAAATTTTGTTATTGGTTTATGAATAAAAACATTGTCTATTCCAGTTCAGAATGTATACCCTTGATTTAATTCCCTGTGGGTTGAGAGGTTGTTCATAAGAGTAAAAATGTATGTTTATTAAACATTATATCAAAGCTCTATGAGTTCAAAGCTTTGGGACATCAAAGCACATATTTTGATTCATTAGTCTAATTGTAAGAAGATCTAATTGTAACAGGATAGAAGGCTTTTGTTTTGGTCTAATTTATTAACATATTGATTCCTAAAAGGTAACTATAAATTGCTTACAAGTGTAACATCTCTCTTGAAAATCCACCTGAAAAATATCCATAGGCAATAATTGAAGAGAGTGTTAGATGAAAGCTACTTTAGATTTTATGCCTTTCAAAATTTTTGCTTCACCTAAAGGTATTTTGATACTTAGCAGAATGGAAAAGTGTATTTTCTGTTTATATGAATGAACCAATTTATGAGTTGAATGACCATGTTTTTTCCCCCAGAAATGATTGTCTTTACTATTCTGAAATGTATTTTAAGAAACCCATAATAGCAATTTGAAGTAAACTTACCCCTGCCTCAAAAGGATTCTGTTAAACACCACTTTGATAACTTATTTGTCAATCGATCACATGCCTGCAGGCCTGTTATTTTTCATTTTTTTAATTTTCAAATACAAAAGCGAATAATTAAAAATTTTCCCATAAGCCATCATTTTAAAATAATCATATACACTTTGATAGGTTCTTTTCATGTATTATATATTCATAGGACATGTATTAATGTCAAGGATAATGGATAGTCTGTTTATTTTGCTAACCTACGTTCCTAAGACTGGTGATTTCCACCAAAAGAGCCCAATTCTAGGTCCGGGTAGGACCTAGGAGGCTGCTTTAAGTGATTCTGATAAATGTTTCTTCTTGGCCCACATTGCCCTAGGCCAGGGGAAGGGCCCAAGGGGTAGGCCACTAATCCTGAAGGAAAAACAAAAATGACAACCCCATCAAGGGCCCTGTAGAAATAAAAATTACTTTCGTGTCTTTGAGTGTTTAATTTTCCTCCACTTATTTCCTGTATCTTTTCTTCTTAAAGAAAGAATCCGAAAGAAAGTAAAGACTATTAAAATATAGTTCAGGTCCATGTTATAAACATTTAATACAAATTTTAAAAGGAAATACAAAGTAAAGAAAAAAGAGAGAGACAGAATGACTAAAGGTGAGAGGGATGCCAATCAGAATTGGGAGACAAGAAGGTACAAAATGACCAACAGAATAAAAAATGAGGGTAAACATGGATGTAAGTGAAAAGAAAAAGGGAAACAAAAAGGCAATGATAGGAAGGAAGTAGAGATAAAAGGGATGAGATGGGACCGTAAACCTTAAGGAATTATTAAATTACTCATGTCATTCTTTCCTTTTTGCTTGTTCACTTGGGCTGGGCCTCAGATCTCTTAGAAATGTTCATACACTGGTTAATACCTATTCCCAATTTTTTAACTACTTGTCCTTCAACCTCCACCCAGAAAAAGAGAGCTTTCCTCTGAAATAGGAATTATTTATTGGGATCAGGAACCAGAAAAAGTCAAGCTAAAGCCAGCTAGAGCTCAGAGTTTAAGTTTTTTTCACAAAACATTCTTCCTTTTCTGCCATTTTTTACTCTCCAAACACTCTTGAGTTATACCTCCCCTTAGACTAGGAAAACTGCATGATCCACAGTACAAAATATGCTTTTAAAACTGTTTCATGCTGCTTGGCAAAGTTTTGATAAGTTCTGAGCCAAATGGTACTACAGACATTTCTACAAGGTGTACTTCACATCATAGTGGTTATGCTCTAAATCACTGATGTACAATAGAAATGCAATGCAAGACACAAATACAAGCCACATATGTAATTTAAATTATATTAGTAGCCACATTAAAAAAATTTAAAAACCCGATGAAATTAATTTTAATATATACTATTTACCTCAGAATATCCACAATATTACCATTTTAAGACATAATATAAAATATTAATACAATATTTTACAATCTTTTTTAAGTCTTAAGAATCTGGAGTATATTTTATACTTATGATACATCTTAATTTGAACTAGCTACATTTCAAATGTCCAATGGCTACATGCAGCTAGTGTCTACGACGTTGTGTAGGTCTAAATGCCAGCTATATTCAGAAACTAAAATTATCTCAAAAAACTACATTCTGTCTGCCCAGTTTGACCTTCACAGGTTTTCAATGTCCTCTTTGTTTTGTAATAATGTCTTTTAAGATCTGCAAATATGAATATCAAAGACAAGATGAATTTGGTTTACTTTTCATTTCTTATTTTGAGGAAGGGCTGGTATTGACTTACTACCAAAATATGAGTTTGATGTAGCTTCTCCCCAAGTAATTAACTACAGAATAGCTTCTATGTAGTTTTGCAACCAAAGTGGTTTTGTATCAGATTGACTAATGCTAATTTTTGCTACTATAGTTATTGATGCATTCGGGGAGGAGTGGGTGGTAAGTGGTAGTATTGATGAAGAAAATAAGAGATTATTAGTTTGTTCTTATGCTATATTAATTTTGCTTTACTAGCTCTTAGTAGATGTTCTTACAAGCCTGGGACAATTCACATTAGAGTGATTAGAAGAGAAAAATACAAAACACTGGAATTTTATTCTTAGTCACTCAAAACAATATCACATTTTCTAGGGGAAATAATCTTGTGTTTTATTAGTTGAATTAGATGGACTCTATTTGTATTTATATATGAGAATTTGGTATGTGAAAGGCTACATCTGTTTGACTGTATTTGGGATTAATGGTGTCTCAAAAAAATAGAAAAGTACAAAGTGTGTTGTCTGTATAAACTTATGATGTGCATAAACTACAAATAACTATTTTTTGAAAATGTAAAATATTGTTCAATAACTAAAGTATTTTATTTTGGTTTTGTATAGGATCCCTTTGCTTCTGTGGGGATTTTTTAATTGATCAGATTTGTATCTTTGACTTCCCTGATAAGTTTTAATTGATGCTTTAGTATTCCCATCTTAGAAAGTATAAACATCCGAGAGAGCTTTTTGATGAAGAAATTATTTGATACTGCTTCAGTGAGTTGTCATGGCTAGTTTGTATGAAAGCTGGTATCTGATGTTGATGTACAGAATAGTTTTGAAGTGTAATATGAGGGCCTTTCTTTGAATTGCTTATTGAAATATAATTGACCTGATTATCTTGCTACTGAGTATCTCTGCTTCTTTTTGAATTGAAATGTAAACAAGCTGAAATAATCCATTGCATAAAATAAATGTATTCAAATTTTTTGACTGTATATTCAATTACTGGCAACAAAGTAAGGAACCAAGTGCATTTTATTATATCTTTTCTTAAAATGCAGTTGTAATATTTAATTATAACCCACTTCATTATATTTTGAGTTTTCTCATAAAGTGATATTTCCCTTTTATCTCTTTGTGCATTTAAACTTTCAACCAGGATGTCTTTGTATTGCTCAAATGTTATTTATTTGTAAAGCATTTCCTTTACACCTTTAAGTATGCATTTGTGTTTTTGTTGTTGTTGTTGAGCTGAGTAGACTATTTTTGGTACTACTGTTTTGCAGAAAGCAAAGATTATTTTGAAAACATAAATTTAGAGAATAGTTTTTCTTAATGACAAAAGCATGTATTGCTTTTGCTTCAAAGGACTTTAAGGATTTAAAGAATTTATCATATTGAAGATTTCATAGCACTCTTTTTAACTGATAGAAGACAAATCTGGCAAAACTCTTGGTTTTTTGGTTAGATAAGGATAACCACCCAAGAAGTTCAAAGTGGTGGGAGATAGCTTCTCTCTCTCACAAGCTCACTACCAGGTTATAAAAAAAAGCAAGTCTAAGTCCAAATTTTATCACACATTTAGATATTTATTAGATAATCCCTCATTAGCAAATCAGGAACAAAATCTATTCAGGAAGCTCAATGAGGGCCTAGGTCTTTGACCTTTTAGATACTTTCACCCACCCTGTATGTAACATTCAGTGAGGTGGACATAGCAACATTCTAGGAGCAGGATTCTGTGACCTTTAGTCAGTGTCATTCAGTCAGAAATCCTCCTAATCCAATGTCTGGACACAGAATGATTATGGATAAAACCGTGGGCCCCATCGCTAAAAGATATGGGATATAGGCCACAATGGAATCTTATGTACAGTTCATTTAAGAGTAAGAAGTGTTTAACTGTTTTAGCCAATACACATATCTTCAATGCCTTTACTTTCACCAAAGGGAATCCATTAATACATTCATTATAGTGATTAACCAGACACTAGTTCACCAATAAAGACTAATCTTTTATATTTAGTTTGATAATGAGTAAAGTGTTGATTGTGGCTAGATGTACCTCAGTAAGAAGGACCTGTAGTTGCCCTGTATGGGCCTTCTAGATATAAAGCCAACTGACCAACTAGTCTGGGCATTCTTGGACTCCTCCTAGAATTACAGGTTAAACTAACTGGCACATATATAGTATCATACTGAAAATAACAAAATATTATAAAATAAATTGTAGATATTATAACAAGCCTACAAATGTTAATATTTTGGGAACTACTAGTCAATTGTGAGAGAACAAAGAGATATTAGCTTGAGTCTTAATTGACCTAGGAGTAAAGCAAAAGTTCTCATTGATAGATAAAGGGAAGTTTCTAAATTATTTGGGGTGGTCAAACATTTTCTTAGCATTATTTAGGAGGAAATTGTCTCATGGTTCTTTATGTGTGGAGCATTGTATTACATAATGGGCTGTGTCTTTTAATTCAGACTTGCAAAAGATACAAAAATTCTCTGTCTTAAAGCACTTTTAAAAGTCCCGTTCTCTATTATGTTTTCTTCTACTTCATCTTGTGGTTATTTACCTTTTATAAAGATGTTATATTTTTGTTCTGTAGTTTGAATAGAGAGAATTAGAAAACATGGGCCAAACTAGTAGGTTATAGTCACTCTAATGGAAGATTTTTTTGTTTTGTCAGAATTGTGTTTTTTAAAAAGTAAAACCTCGAATTGGAATACCTTAACTTGGGTCAAGCACTCTCTAATTCAACTATTTGTCCCATGACTTTCTTTTGCCAATAGTCCCAGCTTCTGCACACATTTATGTACATGCCTGACCTCTAAATATCTATGTGTTTTCGACTTCTGAGAAAAAATATTGAACATGTATTTACAGCTATCCATTCAGTTCTGCCTGATACCCTTTGAAGCAGACTGCCCCCTGCCCCAGAGATTCAGTGTTCTACATGCTTCTTTGGGAGATATCAGTCTCAGATGGGGATGGTTAAGAGAAGGTATTGTAAGCCAGGTAGATTTAAATATCCCAAATCTGCCAGTTCTCCTAGTTGTGTGATCTTAAGCATGACACCCTGCATCTCTAGACCTAAGCTTGTTGTCAGAGTTACATGAATTAGTACGTATGGAGCACTTAACCCAGAGGCTGGTATCAGCACTTAACCCAGAGAGTGGTATGTTTAAGTGTAAGTACCACTTAAACAGTAGCTGTAATTATGGCAAAGATAATTATGACACCCAGATATACATCTGATTCTGTCCTTCTCTTCATACCTTCATATTTCCTCATGTCCAATTTCCTGCTCACCACTAAATTCACCATTTCTGTCTCCACCCCAGTCTTTTGCATTCGGAGGCAAAATTTAATGCCTTTTCTGTAGTCTCCAACTCAATTACATAAGCTAGAACTCTGGAAGTTATCCTTGATGTCTCCTTCTCGCTCATGGAGTAAATCTAATAAATCATCCACCTATGACAATTTAACCCTCAAATATTTCTCAGATCTAGTTTCTTGTCTCTATCAGGTATTGATCATACTGCTTACAGTATTATCAATCCCATTCTCTATTCTGTAGCCCACGTGATGGAACAAAAATTCAAATCTGACCACTCGATTTCTCTATGTAACATTTATTGTTGTCTCATTTCCTACAGAAGTAATTTTCAAATTGTGCTCAGACACAAGCATTGAAGCATATTTTGTTTATCTGTGAAGATTTTTTTATTCACTGCTTTTCTTGTAATAATATATTGGAACTCAGGAATAAATCGTACAAGAGAAAAACTTCTGGAGCTTGTAAAACCTGAGAAAAAGCAGATCTTAAAAATGGCCCATGCTGACCTCTCCATACTGTTTCTATTTTACTGACTTTTGTTATACCAGCAAGACCAAACTTCTAATAGTTCATCAAAATTAATCTATTTTTTTTTGTTTCATGCTATACTTCATCCTGGGGCACTGTTCCTTCACCCCAACCCCACCTGACTTCCTGTCTTTATTTGTCTCAAGCTCATTCTCTGACACTCTGATGAGTTTTCCCATTAGAGAAAACCCTGCTTATGCACACCTGCTCTGGGTTCCAGGATTTCCAGTGCATACCTATTCTCTTGTATTATATTACCTGTTTATAATCAGACTATACACTTCTTAGGGCAGGACTAAGTCATACTCATTATTAAATCTCTTGCAAGCACATTGTCTATGTATAGTAAGTAAATAATAAGTATTATTAGATGAATGAAATAAATTTGAATATATTTGTGCTTATATCTATGAATCTAATAGCTGTTGTTAGTCTTACGAAAAGTAGAGTCCCCCACCCTAGACAGGATCTCAGCTAATAGTGATAGATTATTTTTCTAGGGCCTGTTTTAGCTCTAAGTGATTGATGGCATGCTTTAAATGTGATCTGGCCCCTGGATTTTAGTTAAGGAAATGCTGAAAACTAGCAAAAGTTAATCTTTTTTCTTCATAAGAATATAATGTTCATAGCCTTAAAAAGAAATGTGCGTAGTTACAATTCTTCTCATTGGAGACATATCCTGCCAATAGTGTCCCAAGTGTAAGTCTATTATGCCTCAAATGAATGTGTGATTTTAATGGTCGAGGCTAACACCTATTTAGATTCATTAAAATCTAATTTGTTGACTTGCTATGACGTTTGTAAAATGATTTGAAGGTAATAAGCTTATGTGTAATTAACTTGGTTCCGTTTTGAAGTATCTTACTAACTTAGAGTTATTCTGGATTCCTGAAAACCTTCATCAAACCAAGGAGCATAATGGTTGGCTAGCTTCTTGATTTCCCCAGGCTCCCAGCAATAAAAGATGATTTCCCAAAACAGATTCCCAGTGAAGTGAGAGACAGTGAGATAGCAGAGACTCTGTTGTCCTACTATAACCTCCTAGTCCCTTGATTATTCATTTCCAGATTTGTGTGGTAAAAGCCAGAGACCACATTATTGTAAATAGGGCAAAGATCAATATGAAGGATGGGCTCAGGGCAAGCAAAGAAGATGAAAGTGGAATTACTTGACAATAGGATTACTGAAACGATTGAGATGTCAAGAGCCAAATGACCTTGAGGGACAAGGAAGCAGTTTGGACATTCAGTGAGTATTCTTAGCTTCAACTTCAAAGCCGATCAAAACTCCTGAAGAGTGAGAACTCACTCAACAGGGAAGAAGCAGAACACGAGTCTCAGCCTAGTGTGCAGGTGATTGCTTTGAGAATGTCAGGCCTACTCTCATTAATTTTTGTTCATTTGTGCTGAGGGAATTGTACAAAAGCCAGACAATGCAAAGAAACTCCATGACTTGATCAATTCTACTCTCCATCCCCACCACCCCTGCATTAGACTTGGCCTTCATGATTTCTCACTTTGACCACTATAACATTCTTCTAACTTTCCTCTGCAACTAAAGCCTTTCCATGAGCTCATCCTCCATATCACTTTGAGAAATATCTTAAATTTAAAGAAAAAGAAATACCTGATTGCGTAATTCCCCTGCTGCAAACTGTATGATGGGTCTGTAGGGCTTATGAGATTAATTCCATGTTCTGCATATCACCTGCATTCAGGGCTGCCTGAAGTACCTAAGTTGACTTTGTGGGAAATAAAAAGGGCACTCCTTCAGGGCAGATGCGGATGAGTTATAAAATCATCCTCTCCCTCCAGACTGATATAGCCTCTAGCAAGCCTTCTGGCTTGGCAACAAGAGCTAGATTTCAGCATTCCCTTTCTGTTCCCTCCTAGGGACCGTGTCTGTGTGCATTCCAGCTTTCTTATGGCTATGGGAGTTCCTCTTGCTTGTGTGCTTTTGCCCTTGCTTTTTACTCTGTCTGATAAACTCTTACCACACTTCAGAGTGGACTTATGAAACCATTTTAGCTCCTACAACACTCCTTTCTGCTTTCATAGCATGTGATACATACCTCTATTGTTAGCACCAATCACCTTATTCTATAAGTTATCAATTCCTGATCAACCCTGCTCACTGTATTGTGATTCTCAAGGGTAGTATGTCTCTCTTTTTACTGGATTTAAAAACCATTAATACTAGTACTTGTTTTATATATGGCGTGAAATTAATAAATGTTGAATGAATGAATGAACTTATGGCTATACCTATTGAATGAGGGATAATATAATAGGAGTATAGCCACTTCATTTTTGGGGGCCCCATTTGGAATAATTATAATGGAGGTCAATTTTTTTTTATTATTGTTGTATTGTTGCCATTTTATGATGATATAAGGGAGTTGAAGAAAATACTGAAGACTTACAGAATGTTTTTGAGACCCTCCTTTGATGAGAGATGGTTGAGTTAAATCAGATCTTATCTTTATGCAGAGATATCCAAAAGAGAATTTGAGAAATTGAGTGTCCTTCCAAGAGTCTCACAGAAAGGTTAAAGAATATCTGCTTTTCTCCCCTGAAATCAAACCAGTAGAGAAATTACAAATTTCTCCCTATGTATTATTTTTCATCTTTCCCCTTCTTGGGACATAATATGAACTGGTCAGAAGTTTGGCTAATGTCAATAGAAGAATCATGTTGGAGTATAGCTGATAATGTTTATGAGAATTCTTAATACAATGTAAAATACTGAAGTACTAGATAAACATCACAGAAAGTGAATTACTTTAATTTACAGATATTCTCACAAAAAAAATGAAAAGCCCTTGAGATAAGATTACAATAGAATTTTCAATGGCCCATGATATGAACTTTGAGACTATGTCTCTCAGGGTGAATATGAGGTGAAGAGAGTAGAATTTAAGTTATCACTAAAGATCTGTTGACCAAAGTAAAATTTGTCTCAGTACGACATTGGAATGGTGTGAAGACTGTAGGAGAGAACTCCTTTGACAAATGCTCCATAATGTAATTCAGAGGTTGGCAAACTTTTGTTGTAAAGGGCCATATAGTAAATACTTTAGGCTTTGTAGGACATATGCTGTCTGTTGAATCTATTCAGTTCTGCTGTTGTTGCTAGAAAACAGTTATAGAAATAAAGCAATGGATGTGACTGGATTTGGCCTGGGACCTAGCCTTAGGCAATTTTGAGCTTTCTAGAAGTATCTTATGTGCATACCAACAGAACAACTACAATGTAAGGTGAGGCCAGCCTATTTCTGGGCTGATGCTTTATGTAAAAATAACCTCCAGTTCTGACGTGTCTACCCAAGGGTTAGCCTGTGTAGCCTGCAGAACTGGAACAGAGGGACCTTGGCAGTTTTTGAAAAGGCTTCTGCCAAGATGAAAAGGAGTGCAAAACACTTTGAATTTCTTCTTCTTCTTTTTCTTTTTTTTGAAATGGAGTTTTGCTTTGTTGCCCAGGCTGGAGTGCAGTAGCGCGATCTTGGCTCACTGAAACCTCCGCCTCCCGGGTTCAAGCAATTCTCCTGCCTTAGCCTCCTGAGTAGCTGGGATTACAGGTGTGCATCACCATGCCCGGCTAATTATTGTATTTTTAGTAGAGATGGAGTTTCACCATGTTGGTCAGGCTGGTCTTGAACTCCTGACCTCGTGTTCTGCCTGCCTTGGCGTCCCAAAGTGCCAGGATTACAGGCATGAGCCACGGCGCCCAGCTGAGTTTCTTCTTTGGAGCACTCTGGAACTAATCACAGAATGCCTTCACTTATGATGCCGATTGGTTACCAGTGTATAAAACTATGGAAAAAACCATGAATCAAATCCCTCACAACCAAGCTGGACATTTTATAAATTGAAGAAGTTAAAAGTAGCTAACAAATACCCAGTGCATGAGACAACAAAGCTGGCTGGCTTTGTAGAAGAAAACTTCTTAATGTACAGCAGTATTTGTTAAAGCCCTTATTAGAGAAACTCTTTCATCTGACAGTCTTGGGCAGAGAAGTAACATCTGAAGCAGAAAATAGAGATGGCAGAGTCAAGCTAATTCCCAATCAAATTCATGCATAGACAGAGTTCTCTTTTTACCTCTCTACCTCTATCCTATCTCACCCTACCCTAAAATTTGGATTGTTATTATGTATATCAAATCATAAGCATTGCTATGGCAAATCTTGGAACTAAAGTCCAAACACTAATGCCTATAATAAAAAAAAATAAGCAGATTAAAGTTCATTTTTTACTTCTTTTGTGGTAGCTAGTCAGTTAATTTTAAATCTTAAGCCTTGAAGAAAGAACTAGGCATATGACTGAGTTGAGTCTGGGTCTTGACTATGAAATTTAAGATGTATGAAATTCAAAGTAAGTAAATTAAAATATTTATAGTTATCTTAGGCTGCTAGTGGATTGAATCAAAGATTAAGACTTCAATTGTAATGTGAAGAAGAAATGACTAGCTTTAACAGTAAACACATAAGCAGAAGAATTTTAATTTGTTAATATGTGTGATAAGGGCCTGTGTAAGTGTTCTTTGTTAAACTACAATACACATAGTTTTCATATATCTCTATAGATGTGTCTTTGGTAGATGATACATCAGTATATACATGCAATTAGGACTACAGAAGGTTTTGAATGGATCTTATTTGTATCTGTTTTGTTGCCAATTAAATTCTATCTGTATTTTAAGGTGATTTTTCCTAATGAATAGAAAGATGTGTATTGCTTTTACAAAATACAAATTAGTTCTGCTTTTCTTATTTACTTATTTTTGTTTATTTTTATTAGAAATAAGACCACCTATTTCTTTGTTTAGAAATTTGTTATATATTTTCAAAATCTCCAGAATAAAGCTAAAAGGTGAATTCTGTATGCCTAAGAACAGCATCCTTTATTACAATGAAAAGGACAATCTGTACCAATTATCTATTGCTATGTAACAAATTACCTCAAAGCTTAGTAGCTCAAAACATATTTATAATCCTCACCATTTCTACAAGTCAGGAATTTAGGAGAAATGTAGCTGGGCATTTCAGGCTCAGGGTCTCTCATGAGACTGCAATGAAGATGTGTCGGAGCCACAGGAACCCAAGGTTTGCTTGGAGCTGGAAGGATCTGCTGTAAACTGACTCATCATTCCAGGTGTAATGGAAGCTTCACTTATTCTAACTGAAGTACTTTAAGCTCAACCACTTCCTGGGCATGCACCACTTGTCAAGTTACTTAACCATTCTTCACTCACCAGCCTAGTGTTCTTTTACAGTTATAAATCATATCGTGATTTAAACATATGTCTGTTTAAAACCCTTTGGTGAAAATAAGTGAAGCTTCTATTATTACACTTGGAATGAAATCCAAACCACATAATATGGCCCACAAGCCCCAACATGACATGGGCCTATGTACTTCTTTCACCTCACTGCCTCATATTCATTACTCTTTTCTTTCTGTATATTTCTGTCACACTGGCCACCCATTAGAAATGTTGTAGGGGTCAATAAGCCCTTAGTCAAGTGACCATTATTCTGGTTTGTACCTGTTGCCCTGGTGCAATTACTAGCAAGACCAGTTTCAAAAGCGTCTCATCAATTACATGCTTTTCCTAGCATCCAGCTCTTTTCTCTGCCTCCTAACTTTTTTATATTCCTCCCTTATTAGTCTTCTTCCAGCCTTGGGCTAGCCTAGTTAACTTATATTAACTTACGTATGTTCTGCAGATAAAATACAATCGTCTTAGAAAAGCTTTCCCTAAAATCCCACTCCTCTGAAATGAGCACTCTCATGGTTTTTCCACTAATCTGTCTAGGAACCCATTTTTTTTTTACAGCCATTACTTTACTTTGTAATCTTATTTTAATTAATATCCAGAAGAGAAAGAACATTATCTGTTTGATTTGCACTGTATAACCAGTGCTGAATACAGTGCCTGGCACATAGCACACACTCATTAAATATTTTTAAGTGAATGAAGAAAATATCTAAGCCTCAGTTGTTTTTAAATCTAGAAGTAGGGAGGAGATATTATAAGAATCAAGTAGGATTGCACCTAGGACAGTATCTGGCACACAATATACTTTTTTCTTATTAAAGTATAGTTAACAAAAAAATGCACATATTTCAGACATACAACATAGTGTTTTGATATAAGTATACTCTAATGATTCCCACAGTCAAGTTACTTAACATATCCATTACCTGACATAGCTACCCTTTTTGTTTATTGTTTTCAGGATACTTCAGATTTACTCCTTTAGCAAATTTCAAATATGCAATGCATTATTATCAACTAAGTTACTGTGATGTACATTAGATCTCAAGAACTTATTGGTCTCATAACTGGAATTTTGTACCCTTTCTAATTGAAGTTAAATGTATATACAGTGAAATGCACACTACATACATAATATGATGAGGTTGGACCAATATATACTTATGTAACCAATACCTGATCAAGATATGGAACGTTGTCATCACCCTAGAAAGTTCTCTCTTGTCTCCTGCCAGTCAATCCCCATCCCCTCATAGGCAAGCGTTGTTCTGATTCCTGTCATCGTGAATTCATTTTTTCTGTTTCAGGATTTTATACAAATGAAATCATAGCATGAGTACTTTTTCTTCTGGCCTCTTTTGCTCAATATATTTTCTTTGAGAAGCAACTATATTGTTGTATGTATTAGTGATTAATTATTCTTTATTGCTGAGTATTATTTATTGTATGACTATATCATGATTTGTTTATCCAGTTTCCAATTGATAGACATATGAATTGTTTTTAGTTTTTTGTTACTATGAATAAAATTGTTTCAAAATTTTTGTAAAAATCTTTGTATGGACATGTATTTTCATTTCTTCTGGGAAAGAAGCTAGGAGTAAAATTGTTGGGTATAAAGGCAGGTTAGATTACTTTTAACTTAAAAGAAAAAATACAAACTGCTGAATGGTTTTCCAAAATGGTCATACCACTTTGTACTCTTACCAGTAATCTATGATAATTCCAGTGTTACATATTCTTGGCAACATTTTAATTTACATTCCTCTAATAACTAATAAAGTTTAGCACCTTTTCATGTCCTTATAGGCCATTTTAAATCCTCTATTGTGATGTGTCTGTTCAAGTCATTTCTCTCTTTTTTATTTAGATTGTTTGGATACAAATCCTTTGTAATTTATAATTTTTCCTATAGCTAGTGTTTACACTTCATTAATGGCATCTTTTGCTGAGTAGAAATTTTTGTGAAGTTCAGTGTATCATTTAAAAAAATAGTTTGTGTTTATGACTCCACCATAAAAGATCTTCATTACTCCTCTAGGTCATAAAAATGTTTTTCTATATTATCTTATCTATATTCTAAGTTTTCCCTTGTCATCTTAGCTTTTATGTAGATCTATGTCTCGAACAAAATTAATTTTTGTGTGTTATATGAGGTAGGTCTTGGGGTTCATTATATTCTACATGGATATCCAATTGTTCTGGTACTGTTTGTTCAAAAAATTTCCTTTTCCCATTAAATTGCTTTGGTAGCTTTGCAAAATCAGTTGACTGTATGTGTGGATCTGTTTCTGGATTTCTCCATTGTTTCTGTGATCTATCTTTCCTTATGTCGATGCCATAATCTTTACTACTATAGCTTTGTGTTAACTCTGGAAATCAAAGAGCTTGAGTTCTCTAACTTCATTCTTCCTTTCCAATATTATTTTGCTTAATCTAGGTATTTTGTCTACATTTGTCTAATCTAGGTTCTTTGGGTATTCAAATACGTTTTAGAATCAACTTTTCAATTTTATACAAAAAAGTGTGTTGCAATTTTCTTAGTATTATATTGATTGAATCTTCAGGTTAATTTAGGTAGGGACCAATATATTCTTTTGATAACTTATTAATCATCTAATGGCAATGGGTATGAATTGGCTTCCTGAAATAAGATCATTAGGATCATTAAGTTGTTGTGACCAATTAGATGAGGATGCTGAGAAAGAAAGGACATCCCAAACTGCAGTGCTTTTGGACTCTTATATAATGCTCATTATTAAACTAGAGAAGAGTTGAAGAGAAATTAGGAGTTTATGGAGAGAACTATGCACTGCTCTAGGGCAAATACTCTGCTCCAAGCAGTTGTTTCCTTGCTCTTATTGTCTTTCAATACTCTGTCTTTTGGATATTTTATGTGATTGCTTCCTAAATATGTTTTCTAAAGCAGAGTATTTTCCTTCCAAAGTACTATATATTTTCAATATATCAAACAGGATGCAATTATAGATTGATTTATTTTCTTTGAATTTCTTCACCTTGTTCATTATCAGATGAGGGCAAAAATATTTCTGAGATCAAAAACTCATGAGCCATTTTTTTCTTTAGGCATATAGAAGGGCATGCCATTTTGACTAAGCACAAATAGAATATTTGTAGAAAGTTAAGAAATGAGCAGCAATATTCCCTTCCAGGCAGTCAGAAGCTTGGTGGCACACTTTTTACATGGAAGCAAAATATTTCTGAAATTAAAAAAGTAATTTAAAAAGAGCACAAGGACCAGAATGTATGCCAAGCAAACACCCTTTAACTTTATTTACAGTAAATGAGAGCAAGTTTTAAAAGCCTTTAGTGAATATTCTGTCTAGAAACCATTTATGTTTAAATTTCACTGATTAGATTTTTAAAAGTAGGTAGTATTCTGTATTTAGCCCCTTTTAAACTGCTCAGCATCAAAATATCTGAAAACAGTTGCTCTTTTGCCTATTAATTCAAACATAAATGCTATTATTCAAGACGTAAAATAAGACATTTACCTATCTGTTATTAATACAGCCTGGTCCTTTTTACTAACACAGTAATCGCATGAGCATGCCTATTACTTTTTTTTCCAATACTAGAAAGGATTCTATTATGTATAATTTGTGTTTTACTCTTAGAGAACTTTTTCATTTATCCCTGTGAGGCTGTTTCAGCGATATGAAAACATGAGTATGTAGCATAACTATCTTTATGTTTTTTCTTTTATTTTTTATACTGTCAAGAAAAAATGATGCATTTTCTTTATTCATTAAATCTCGAAGCTATAAATCTTCCAATTATGTTTAGATATATCTTATTGATTATCTTTCCTTATTCAATTAGAACTGATTTTTAAAAAATGCCTTTGTATTTCTTTTTTTTTTCTTTTTTTTATTATTATAATTTAAGTTTTAGGGTACATGTGCACAATCTGCAGGTTAGTTACATATGTATACATGTGCCATGCTGGTGTGCTGCACCCACTAACTCGTCATCTAGCATTAGATATATCTCCCAATGCTATCCCTCCCCCCTCCCCCCACCCCACAACAGTCCCCAGAGTGTGATGTTCCCCTTCCTGTGTCCATGTGTTCTCATTGTTCAATTCCCACCTATGAGTGAGAACATGTGGTGTTTGGTTTTTTGTTCTTGCGATAGTTTACTGAGAATGATGATTTCCAATTTCATCCATGTCCCTACAAAGGACATGAACTCATCATTTTTTATGGCTGCATAGTATTCCATGGTGTATATGTGCCACATTTTCTTAATCCAGTCTATCACTGTTGGACATTTGGGTTGGTTCCAAGTCTTTGCTATTGTGAATAGTGCCACAATAAACATACGTGTGCATGTGTCTTTATAGCAGCATGAGTTAGAGTCCTTTGGGTATATACCCAGTAATGGGATGGCTGGGTCAAATGGTATTTCTAGTTCTAGATCCCTGAGGAATCGCCACACTGACTTCTACAATGGTTGAACTAGTTTACAGTCCCACCAACAGTGTAAAAGTGTTC
This sequence comes from Homo sapiens, assembly GCF_000001405.40. Classification (NCBI taxonomy): domain Eukaryota; kingdom Metazoa; phylum Chordata; class Mammalia; order Primates; family Hominidae; genus Homo; species Homo sapiens. The sequence continues at coordinate 69,255,341 of NC_000006.12, forward strand.
CTATTTCTCCACATCCTCTCCAGCACCTGTTGTTTCCTGACTTTTTAATGACTGCCATTCTAACTGGTGTGAGATGGTATCTCATTGTGGTTTTGACTTGCATTTCTCTGATGTCCAGTGATGGTGAGCATTTTTTCATGTGTTTTTTGGCTGCATAAATGTCTTGAGAAGTGTCTGTTCATGTCCTTTGCCCACTTTTTGAGGGGTTGTTTGTTTTTTTCTTGTAAATTTGTTTAAGTTCTTTGTAGATTCTGGATATTAGCCCTTTTTCAGATGAGTAGGTTGCAAAAATTTTCTCCCATTTTGTGGGTTGCCTGTTCACTCTGATGGTAGTTTCTTTTGCTGTGCAGAAGCTCTTTAGTTTGATTAGATCCCATTTGTCAATTTTGGCTTTTGTTGCCATTGCTTTTGGTGTTTTAGACATGAAGTCCTTGCCCATGCCTATGTCCTGAATGGTAATGCCTAGGTTTTCTTCTAAGGTTTTTATGGTTTTAGGTCTAATGTTTAAGTCTTTAATCCATCTTGAATTAATTTTTGTATAAGGTGTAAGGAAGGGATCCGGTTTCAGCTTTCTACATATGGCTATCCAGTTTTCCCAGCACCATTTATTAAATAGGGAATCCTTTCCCCATTTCTTGTTTTTGTCAGGTTTGTCAAAGATCAGAGAGTTGTAGATATGCGGCATTATTTCTGAGGGCTCTGTTCTGTTCCATTGATCTATATCTCTGTTTTGGTACCAGTACCATGCTGTTTTGGTTACTGTAGCCTTGTAGTATAGTTTGAAGTCAGGTAGCGTGATGCCTCCAGCTTTGTTCTTTTGGCTTAGGATTGACTTGGCGATGCGGGCTCTTTTTTGGTTCCATATGAACTTTAAAGTAGTTTTTTCCAATTCTGTGAAGAAAGTCATTGGTAGCTTGATGGGGATGGCATTGAATCTATAAATTACCTTGGGCCGTATGGCCATTTTCATGATATTGATTCTTCCTACCCATGAGCATGGAATGTTCTTCCATTTGTTTGTATCCTCTTTGATTTCCTTGAGCAGTGGTTTGTAGTTCTCCTTGAAGAGGTCCTTCACGTCCCTTGTAAGGTGGATTCCTAGGTATTTTATTCTCTTTGAAGCAATTGTGAATGGGCGTTCACTCATGATTTGGCTCTCTGTTTGTCTGTTATTGGTGTATAAGAATGCTTGTGATTTTTGTACATTGATTTTGTATCCTGAGACTTTGCTGAAGTTGCTTATCAGCTTAAGGAGATTTTGGGCTGAGACAATGGGGTTTTCTAGATATACAATCATGTCGTCTGCAAACAGGGACAATTTGACTGCCTCTTTTCCTAAATGAATACCCTTTATTTCCTTCTCCTGCCTAATTGCCCTGGCCAGAACTTCCAACACTATGCTGAATAGGAGTGGTGAGAGAGGGCATCCCTGTCTTGTGCCAGTTTTCAAAGGGAATGCTTCCAGTTTTTGCCCATTCTGTATGATATTGGCTGTGGGTTTATCATAGATAGCTGTTATTATTTTGAGATATGTCCCATCAATACCTAATTTATTGAGAGTTTTTAGCATGAAGGTTGTTGAATTTTGTCAAAGACCTTTTCTGCATCTATTGAGATAATCATGTGGTTTTTGTCTTTGGTTCTGTTTATATGCTGGATTACATTTATTGATTTGTGTATTTTGAACCAGCCTTGCATCCCAGGGATGAAGCCCACTTGATCACGGTGGATAAGCTTTTTGATGTGCTGCTGGATTCGGTTTGCCAGTATTTTATTGAGGATTTTTGCATCAATGTTCATCAAGGATATTGGTCTAAAATGCTCTTTTTTGGTTGTGTCTCTGCCCAGCTTTGGTATCAGAATGATGCTGGCCTCATAAAATGAATTAGGGAGGATTCCCTCTTTTTCTATTGATTGGAATAGTTTCAGAAGGAATGGTACCAGTTCCTCCTTGTACCTCTGATAGAATTCGGCTGTGAATCCATCTGGTCCTGGACTCTTTTTGGTTGGTAAGCTATTGATTATTGCCACAATTTCAGAGCCTGTTATTGGTCTATTCAGAGATTCAACTTCTTCCTGGTTTAGTCTTGGGAGAGTGTATGTGTCAAGGAATTTATCCATTTCTTCTAGAGTTTCTAGTTTATTTGCGTAGAGGTGTTTGTAGTATTCTCTGATGTAAATAAAATATCTCTGTATTTCCTGTAAATAAAAAGATGATGTTTGAGGTAAACAAAATCCTGTTTACCTATTTCCACTGCTAGAAAGTGATGATAAACTCAACTAAGAACAATTGGAAAAAAATACGTTACATGGATGGGGAAAAAAGTTAATTATTTTGCATTTTGTCTTCTGATCATCTTCAAGATTTAGTTGACTGGTCTGCATTACTGTCTCAAAGGGAGATAGCATGAATTTTGTGAAAGAAGTGTGTTTTCAGTGCAGATTCTCCCCTGGATACCCACTTGTAATTTCTTTTGGTGATAATAGATCTTAGCTATGCACATCAAGGGAAAACTAGATTCTTCAGGGTATCATGCAGTGTAGCTCATCACAGTATCCTCAGTGCTTGTTGGCAGACCTGTCTATTTGTAGAAACGTGGTTGTTATCCTATAGTGGAGATTGTTGGAGTGTATTTACGCAGCTTTCCCAGTCTCATGTCCAGATATAAAGAGGATCCTTGTTAAGCTTCCAGACCCCATTTGTCAGGAAAGAAGGGAGAATTTGAATGAAATCTCTGCAGCTAGCGATATAAAGACGAATATCTTTAAGCTCTGTTTTTCAGAAATGAAATGGTATTCGCAGAGAAGGATGAAAAAAATGACAACTATTTGTGTCAGTAGGAAGAATTATAAGAAAAGAAAAAAATTCCTAGAGATTAGAGGAAATCTAGCAAGGTACAGGATTGAAAATGATGAAGAGGAGCAGATTTTTATGCCTGTAAAATCTCATTTGGCCATGATTATTTCTGTTTTGTTTTTGGAACTTGGAAAGGACACAAATAATGTGTAATGTTGGTGTCATTTCCATAGAATACTGACAGAGACTTGTCAACATAAGAAATATCTGCATATTGAATTCACATGTATATAGAAGTGAAGAACGGTTGGGAATTGTACTGATTATAAAAACACTAGATACAGTTAATGCATTCAGCAAAGGGAAAAACTGCAAATTCGTTGCAGAAATAAATTACCTTTATGTATTTAAAATGTTAGGGCTTACAGCCATTTTTCTAATGACAAAATGGTGTATAGTCCAGAGCTTCAAAGTAGGAATTATTCAATTCTTACAATGAAATGTTACAAACATTTTTAAAAGGGTGACTTATAATGGGAAATATATTTGAGAAATGAAGTGCACAATATGGAAAAGTATACCAAGACAGTAGTGGTTCCCAACAAGAGTAAAAAGAGACAGGACATTTAGAAAAACCATCTGGAGAGTTTTTTAATTCACCTTCCCCACACCCTCTCCAAATCCTGTTATACCTTCAGGAGTTGAACGGATAGATTAAAAATGCTCCACAGGCGATTCTGATAGACATCTCGTTAGTTAAGAACCCCTGCCACTGGAGACTGCAACAAAAAACAGAAAGCTAGATAAGAAATAGAAGGCTGAAGTTCACCTGTCAGTACTTCTCCTGTGTTGGTCTATTCCACGTAATCTTCTACTTACCTCAGTTTTACTGCATGTCAAATAAGGATAAGAATATACCACAGCAATATTATGAAGATTAATATTAAACACTTTGACCTTCCTGGAGAAAAGCACATGATATTAAAAGACAGGAATCCAGCAAAGCCAAAAATATATCCTTTCGAATTTGCTTAATAAGAAAATGAGTCAGTACGGTGTAAATTAATGCAAGTTCTCAGCTCCAAGGAGATGAGATTCAGCAAAAGCTGGGCCTACAAGAAGGATGATTTTAAGTAACATGGAGCTTAAAAGTCTTCAATAATTAACCTTGTTGCTGCCAATTCTGTCAGCCTTCCAACTACATTTCTTTAATATTTTCTCCCGTGTTGGTGTTCAATAACACGTAGTTAGTTTTAACCTTAAAACTTCTAAAATGGGCTGGGCGCGGTGGCTCACGCCTGTAATCTCAGCATTTTGGGAGGCCAAGGTGGGCGGATCACGAGGCCAGGAGATCGAGACCATCCTGGCTAACACGGTGAAACCCAGTCTCTGCTAAAAAACGCAAAAAAATAGCCGGGCTTGGTGGCGGGCACCTGTAGTCCCAGCTACTCGGGAGGCTGAGGCAGGAGAATGGCATGAACTCGGGAGGCAGAGCTTGCAGTGAGCCGAGATGGCGCCACTGCACTCCAGCCTGGGTGACAGAGCGAGACTCTGTCTCAAAAAAAAAAAAAAAAAAAAAAATTCTAAAATGAAAATGTTTGTGGTTTTTCCCCTTATTCTCTATTCGCAATAAGATCTTAGCATTTAATTCAACAAATATGTAAAATATTAATGGACTCAGATATAAAGACATTGGATATATCAGAGAATAATAAAATAATAATAATTGAATTCTTTAAGCTGTAAGCTTTCCTTGTAGGTTATAATAAGCCTAACTACAAAATTACAATTAACAACAGGAGAAAAGTTAGCCAAAAATTTTTAAAGAAAATTTTGTTTAACACAAATTCATGTAATCAAAAACCATTTTTACATAGGGATACCTTGTGTAAAGTCTGTTTTAATACGCAAAATTATGTGTGTGTGCACATGTGATGTGATTTGTGCTCAGTTATAGATTTTTAATTTTGGTAATTCTCCATTTTATGATGGAATCGAAGATTTGAAGGAGGAACACATTAACAGTCAATTTTCTATTAAAAATTAATTTATTATGTCATTTGAATGCATAGTAGACCAGACTGGATGAGAATGGCTTTTGGGTAAAGTATTTTGTCTATGATTTTACATGGTAAACCTATATACTTTCATACATTTCACCAGGTTATAGGGTCCTACCTTCCAGAAGTCAATAATTCAGACACAAATAAGTAATAGATCTCCCTGCTGTAAGTGTATTTACATTTCTTCAAGCAGTGTGAGGGAAGTGGTGTCCCTCATTGGAAGCAGAAATAAGTATTAAATTTGTATTAATATTAGGACTTCCTTCTAGACGCTATTTCAGAGTCAACTTGGCATAGCAAAAATGGTTCTTGTCTCAAATCCTAACTCTGTCACCAGTCAAAAGATGACTTGGGCACGTCTTCTAGCCTGTCTCAACACCAGTTTTCTTAAGAGTGAATGGAAATATGTGGGTATATATTTGGTGTCTGGGGTGGAGTATGAAAAGAGTTGGACTCTGCTAGTAAAGGTTAAATAAAAACCATCTTTAGTTCCCATATAGCTCTACGATTCCAGGATTCTTACTTAGGGAGAATCCTAGAATTATTATTTATATTCTCATTTCCTTATGTCCTGGGATTAAAATATGGACATTAGCATTTGCCATTGTAGTTTTTCACAGTTTATTGATGATACATTAATATACTAAAGATAGGAATTGTTTTGTTTATTATACATCTAAACTAGTCTAAACTGTATTTAGGAATATTATCTCTCTGCAAATGGACCAAATCTGCCCTCAGTCTTTTACACAAAGATCCTTCCTAATGGCAATTCTCAGTAAATACAATGAAGAACAAAATTATTTCTAAAATCATAGCAGTTCATTTGCTTTCCAATGTTTTTATCATCACCTCCACATTTTTTTACTACAGGCTTTTGTATTTGAATAATTATATGCAGTTGCACTATTGAATAGAAAATTGTCACACACAAAAATACAAGGAAAATGGTAGCAGCAAGGCTAATCTATAGCTGCGGCCTTTCTTAATGAGCGTTGCTGGGAAACTTTTCAGAACCCTGCAGGGAAAGGCATGTTTTTGTAAGAAAAAGGTCTCAAGCTGTTAGAACTGATAGAATTTCAGAAATGCCATAAGTTCAGCTTGCAAGAGATTTGTAGGTTTTATAAGCAGAATGAAAAAACTTCAAGATACTTCTTTAGAATCTAAGTTTATATAGAATGAAGAACTATCAGATGTAAGAAAGGGAAAATAGGTTTCACTCCAAAATACGGATACAGGGGCCACTGAATGTAATGGGAATTGTTATATAAATATACTAATTTCTGTATATTTAATTTCATCTATTTGAAAATTGTAGAGCCTCAGTAAAATTATTCAAGTGTTTGATATGACATTTTTTATACTTTTTTTCAAAAACATTATAAAATAAGAAAGTCCTAAATGAATAAATGTATGCATAAATATGAACCTGTGTCTCTTGGGATAGAATTATCTTCTAAACTATTTTGTGCAATAATATGTAACATTTGGGTATTCATGGTAAATATTTGGTTTATGTTATATAGTACTTATTTCAGTAATCCAAATTGTAAATGAAGGCCAAAGCATTTTTACATTTCTGAGCAAAGGAAAGTTTTATGGTAGATACCGAAATATGACCAGAAAAACTAAAGGTTCGTTAAGAATTCCAATGGATATTGGTATTTATTTATTAATACTAGAATAAAAATAGGTTTATATAATATTTTGTAAAATAATTTAGGTCTAATTTATGATTAGAGGGTCTGTCTTTATTAACAGGTTACAAGCATAATCAACATTAGCATGCTTTGCCTTTAATGAATTCTGTATCTCTTGTGAATACATACATATGTTTTTGGAGAGAAAGGCATCTTAATGTATCATAAAGGACAGAAAATAGTCATCCCTATCTTGTCTTTGAATCAACACACCTTGAATGAGGTCCAAGCTATACTGGCTTTATATCAAATTCTGGTTTGTGCTATAGAAAGCAGTACTTAGAGTATCACTATGGTTCATAGCGATCACATCTTAAAGGAAAAAGCATAATTTTATTTGCCTGCTTATTTTTAATTCTTCACTTTGTTTCGTTTTTTTCTAAACATATTTCAATTTTTGACACCTTGGACTGAAAGTCACTCAGTAAAGAGATAGGCAAACTTGAAAGCATGTGAAACTCAAATACTTTTGAGAAGGAGGTTTTATTTTTTTCTTCATCCTTGTTCCCTTTGCTCTTATTAGTAACAATTCCTTCCTTACTAACATAAATGCTTTTCTCTCAGTGGGTGGTTAGGACCACAGTCATGACATGTTACTTCCAATTCTCCTATGTTTTCAAAAACCTATCATTTATTGGCAATTTCTCAATATTTCTCTCCAACCCCATATGAAAATTCTAACAATTGTGTTTCAAGCATGATACAATAATTCCCTCTTTTGTCTCTGGTTTTACTTTCTGCGGTTCCAGTTACCAGTGGTTAAAGTAAGATATTTTGAAAGAGAGAGAGAGAGAGGAGACCACATTCACAGGAATTTTATTACAGTATATTGTAACAATTCTTCTTTTATTTTATTAGCTATTGTTAATCTCTTACTGTGCCTAACTTATAAATTAAACTTTACCATAGGTATGTATGTGTCATAAAAAAAAAATATTATAGATAGGGTTTGGTAGTATCTAGGTTTTCAGGGATCTACTGAGGGTCTTAAAACATATTCCCGTCCCATAAAGGAGGAGTACTGTAGTGTGTTTGAGACCTTACATATAGCGTTTTCTAAAAATAGATGTTGCATTTCCGCAAAAAGGAACCATTTTAAATTTGCTTCACTGGAAAGAGTTCAGGAATCTGACTCTTTATTGAAAAGTAAAGGTCAAAATTGAGGTTACCTGTAGGTATAATTTATCTTCATTAAAAAGTGGCTCTCAAGAGATATTAAAGGAAGCAATAAACACCACTTTGTTATGACTTCCTTCAGTTCACTGTCTGTAAGACAAAGACATGAAGGAACTCCGTCTTTGTATGTTAATTTTTGCAGAACTGACACTGACATCAGTGAATGTTTTTTATGTTAGTATTGATGTCCACAGGGAATACAAATCCTTATTCTCATTCATATACTATATTTCAGATATATAATTGGTGATGATACAGAAAATTTCTCTCAAGTTTTTCTTCCAAAAATCATGATGGTAAGAAGAGATATTTTCGCATGATGGCACCTAAATGACTTTTGCATTTTGACACAAGAAAGTTGATGACTCATGAGTGCAATCACTGTCTTTGTTAAGCATCATTCAGGTTTCCTAACAGCACAGTGTTGGACAGTATGCTCTGGAAGCCACAATAATCTAACAGAAACACGTGTCATATTTGCCTCATGTGCAAGTCTTGCATATGTTAACTTAATGCTTAGAAACTGAGGCTAAATTTGAAAACTGCAGCCCTTGAATTTCCAAGTCTGTCTTAAATGTGGGAGGGTCAGTGTTTGCTTTTGGATTAATTTGGGGAGGCTTCATGGGGAAGTAAAATTTCAGGCAGATCAAATGCTAAGGGAGACATGTACTATCTCACAGTAACTCATATAATGTTGTTGGAGGGAGTCTTAATGATTAACTTTATTCACACCTCTCATTTTACAAATGAAGAAACTGAGACATAGAGGGTTGATCAAAGCAAATACAGTGATTAGCAGCAGAGCCGAGCAAAACTCAGCTTCCTCCAGTTATTTAACCCTCAGGTAAACTTCATTTCAATATGTTCTATATACATTTAACATACTCCTTCTACTCAGTACATATCCTTACATCTCATAATAGGTAGTTTAATTCCAAAGTCCAAATTCTAAAAGGATAAAAGGACAGAAATGACTCATCCATAGATGGATACATGTATTGCTGTCCTTATTCACTCCTTATCCTCATTTTTTACCAAATCAAAGATAGACACTAGGAGAAAACTATATCCAATTAAAATTTCTTGAAAAAGACAATTTACAAGGTGAGAAGGAAACTCTCTAGGGAAATTTATTTCACTTGAAGCATGAAAGTTAAATAAAACTAGGATATCTGTGATCTACAGACTAAGGAGATTTATAACTAGAAACCGCCATGGCTATTTCAAGCCCAGCAGGTCTTTGCTTTCACGTGCTAAAAAACTATCAGTGTGATCAGTTTTAACCTGACCTGCCAGTCTTGAAAATCTATTCTTTCTAATTCCTCCTCTGGTTTTATTACCCTGTCTTCTTAGCTATATCTTTTATACTTTTTTTTTCTATTCTTCTTTATGCTAAAACCTTCTTTCCCACTAGACAGGCATGTCTTTCTCATCTCCTTTTTTTTTTATTTATTTAGATTTGTGCAATAACTTGAGTATTTGACTACCAAAGCTATTATAGTGCTGCACATACTATCTGATTATCCTCCTTGGACTCAGACTTGCATTCTCGCTCTAGGTCTTCTCAGAAATATACCTATGAACGAGTCTCACCCAAACTCACTCCACACCCCCACCAACTTATCCTATAGAATACAGAACAACTTCAGAAATGAATTGTAATGAGAGTTCTTTTCAACATTACAAAAACATATTTACACAGTTACTGAGAAAAAAAAAGTGTATCTATTTGTCTGTAAACCAGCTATTCTACAATACTCTCAGGGTTTTGTTCATTTTTGTATTTTATTGATGCATTAAATTTCTGGAAAGTCTGAGTCATTGTTCAAGAAATATAGTCCCATTGGTTTATTCCCAAGAAAGATCACTGTTCAAAATATTAGCCTTCTTTCTCTCTCTCTGTTTACCTCCCTTCACATGCCCTGAACCAAGACACACACATACGTGCAAATTCTCTTACTGAAATCTAGATAATAACCTTTAGATAGGAACAAATAAAGTGGAACATTGCCTTATACAGTGGTTCTCAATCCTGGCTGCTCATCAGAATCGCCCATAGAGCTTTTTAAAGCTGGGAGTCCTGAAAATCAACCATGAAATTCACTGAATTAGAATTTTGGAGGGTGAGTTCAGGGAACCAGAGTAGTAAAAATTGTCACAAGTGATGCTCATATGCAGCTAGAATTGAGTCACAGAGCTTGTAATAGACCTTACAAGGTGAACAGGGATGATTTGACTCAGATGAAATAGCTATTTTTAAATGTAAATGTCTTTACATAGCACCATCCCACCCCTAGCCCCCGTCCACAAGAAAACTCTTTATTAGTCTGACTAAAACTGATCCCACATTTAAACAACCTTGCAGGTCCTGTTCTTATCCCCCATGTTCCATATGGGGAAGCTGCCCAACTTTATATGATTTTCTTAAAGCACCCAAATCTCTCAATTTGATTAGAATTTAACTTAATTGTGAAAGCCTCTAAATTGAATTTGATTTAGATGGAAAGTTACCAAATTACGTGTTCCAAAAATAAAGAAATAATTTTGGTCCAACTTTGTAAAAAATCCAAAATACTTCTTCTCTATTGTAATATCTTAAAGTCCTGAGGTCATTGGCTAATTTTAGAAATAGAATTGCTCCTGGCCACTTTGTTTCTATCTTTCTATTTCCCCCAAATGCTGTCTCTACATGTGTCCTGAAGCATATTTTCAATTAGCTTAACCCAGATCTGTGATGGACTGAGGTAAGCAAAATGCCCTCCCTCAGTAATAACTTGCTCATCTGTAGAAGACAAATGACTCTTTCAAGGAAAATGTAGTTTGTTTACCTCAGTCTCTGCTTCATCCCATGCTCATTCTTTACATGCTTACTAACTGAAAAAAAATTACAGAAAAGATTCAAATCACTCGAATTCTTTCAGAAAGTGTATTAAGATAAAGGAGAACTTACAAGAGCTTTCTTACAGTGTTGTGGGATTTTATTTGTTTGTTTTTTGAAAGGGCAATGTTTTATGTCAATAAGTTTTATTATTTTGGTTTTATTCTGCTTGATAATTCTTTAAAAGGAGTAAAGAAGAAAAATATGGTTCACAGCCAGTAACATGAAATATTTACTTAATAATTAAAGGTAATAATTAGATATTTGTATATGTATCGTCAAAGGATGATGTAGGGTGTTAATTATCTCTTATTGACAGTAATGGACAAAGAACAAAATCTGCATGTTTTAGCATGGTTTCTTTAGTTCAAAGGAACCTATGTTAGTATTTCAATGTTTATGTGCACTTTGCCAGAGTTAGGGAAAATAGCCTCAAGTCTCTTGAAGCTTCAGTTAGATATGGATAGAAAATACCCCTTGAGACCTAATACAAATTACTATTTCTAGAGAGTTAGCACAAAAAGCTAATCTCTGTCCACAAAAGATTTATTATGACAGATAATAAGAGCCATTTGTACTATTTATTTAGGGTATTAATCTGTTCACCAGTTTCAATGTTATAGTTTAGTAATATACCCTATAATCTTTTCCTATTAGACTATTTTAAAAGCCACTTCACATATCTGTATGTGTGCATACACAGATATATACACACATACATACACACAAATATATTGATTATATATAAATTGTCTACCAAAACAACAAACAGAGAGAGACTATGTAAAAGAAAATGATGTTTATTTGGAGATAGAGCATTGCAATGGGAATCTGCATGCCATAGTAAACTACATGCATATTCAGAAAGGTAAAGGAAGACAAAGATTTTTAAAAAGAAAAATGAGGATAATTATATAATTGTTTTGAAATGATTATCCTTGGCTACAAAGATCAATAACAAGGGTGATACCAGTCTAAGGTTGTACAGATAATTGCTCCGCAGTGTCCTTGCAGAAGTATTTTTTGTATAAGGTCGTGATGCCCTTTGTGCAAGATTATGATTTTCAGAGTCTTCTGTAATAGTTTTTATTAGGCATACAAGCGTAAGAACCCTCTCTTAATAGCTTTCCCCAACTCTATTTGTCTATTTGTCAGGGCGAGGCTTTTTTTAAATTTTTTTGTTTTTAACATTTGCAACTCTACATTGATTCTGACAATTTTCACATTTCCCCCTTTTGATCAAGATCTTTCTCATAAAGCATCACTGGTCAATCTTGCTGTTGTTAGTTTCTGATGTTCCACAGTGCTAAGATGGACCTGTCCAAATTGTTGGTCTTGTCCCACATTATGGGGAGTGATTGACAGCTAGGAGTCAGTGTCAAAACCCTTTAAGCCACATTTGAATTACAAGACAGATTTGAAGGGAGTGGTTCTCAGGCTACCCGGAGTCCATTATTAATTTCAGTATTGTGTGTTCCATAGTCTTCTCCCATCATCAAAAGTACTGAGCTAGCATTAGTCTGTTAAAATCTGTGCTTCTGCAAAAATCTAACAAGTAAAAGATGCAGAGTTTAAAAAGGGAAAATACAAAGTAATATTAGCAGGCAATCCCAGTTTGTCTAACAGTTTTGAGCTATGAACCTAGGCTGAAAGACAACCAATTGAACAAATCAAATGACCATAGGGAATTAGATGAAATCTGTTATAACCATGTGGCCTATTTTCTTATTCACCAATGGATATCAAAGTACCTCTTGGTCAGGTTGTTTCAAGTTACCAGCAGAAGCTACTAATTACAAAATTTTAATTACATTACCCTGCCAAGTGAAGAAGGCAGGTATTCAGAGGAGTAAGAGACTTATGATATTGAGTTTTTTCCCGACATCTTGGGAAAAGCTGTCTACAGAGCAAAAGCATCAGATTTCCCTCCCGGTTTCCAGTTTCCTGTTTCAATGGCTCTGATCATGACACCTAGCAATTCAGTGAACTTTTTGTGTGGCCCACATGTCAGGCACGATTTGTTCCTTAAAATTCTTCTAGTTTCTGCTTATAGGGCTTTAAGAGCAGAGGCATTCCCATATTTATTAATTTTGTGGAAAAAAGCTGGATTGAAGAAACCTAGAAAAATTCAGCATGTATTCTCGTCTATAGAAAGATAATACAATCTTGAAAACAATGCACAGGGAATTGAATAGTACAGTGATAATATTTGGATAAATAATTACAGAAATTTGTCATATAATTTTTCCAATGTGTTTTTATAATGTGCAAGTATAATATTTTATGTTTTCGTAATTCACAATTATAATTTTGAAATCCAAGTTAATAATAGAATTATTTGAAAGCTAAGAAATGACTATGTGTTATTTTCTTGGGCATTATTGCTGAGCTAAGTCCCCTCAAAGAACCTGCTTCTTTTGGGATGAGTAGGAAGTCAGATCCAATGTATTACATTAAACAGTTTTGACATTATATCCAGTTGAATTTATTGCTGTTCCTATTAGACTTCTCTCTAAGCAATCACCGCTTTGACAAGATGACCTCTCTAACATTTTAAGGCAGCCAGAGGGATGATTTGCTTTCAGGCTCCTAGGGCATTTAAGGCATCTACACAAAAGTATTGACATACTCTGGCCTGGGGGCCTGAGCCCTTTACTTCTCAGGCCATAAGACCCCTTGTTCTCAGCATGGAAGCAGTTCTTTGGGTAGAAACTTCACATTGATTTTCTGAGAAATCAATCAATTCATTTAACTTTGCTCTTCTGTCATTCATGATTACTCTCTGTTCATTAGAGAAAAGCCTCTTTTCACCTTGACTTTATCACTACTTTCCCTGTGTTGCCCACTCCAAAATGGGCTGGCCGGGTCTAGGGGCAGGACTGGTTAATGGCTGGAGTGCTTTCTTTGGGCCTTGATGTTTTCCCCCATAAAATGAGGTGAGCAGATGATCAAGGAGGTTCTTTTTGGTTCAAATGTTTCACAAGTGCACTTTGGACTACTGCTACTGCTACTTCTACTCTTTATAATAATCATCATAAATATTATTCTTTTATTTATTATTTATTGAGCATTTACTTTGTGCAAGACACTATACTAAGCATTTTATATAAATCATCACATTTACACCTCAAAACAATGTAATACAGTTGGTTCTTTCATCCTCCCCTTTAGAAACGCAGAAGCTGAAACCTACAAATGTTAAATATCTTGCCCAAGGTCATATAACTAGTACAAGTCAGAATCAAGTATTGAACTTAGGTTTGTCCAATTCCAGAAACAACATTCTTAGTTAAAACAAAATACAGAGGTGTTTGTTCAGAATGAAACCTGAATAAAGACTTCATTGAAAACAGGTGTTTTTTGATACTTCATTTTCAGAGAAAAAAACATTAAAAATTTCAAACATTTACAAATGTGTCCAATGTAAAAAAAAATTATCTTAAAATGATAATATCTCCTATAATTTGAGCTAAGCTTGTATGTTTATTTTAATAAAGTGGTTTGTGCTTGTAGTTGCATGTTCAAAATTAGTTATACTTCAAGTAGTTCCCTTTAATCAGAATTTGAATTGCATAAATGCATATCTATCAAATAATTTTTTTATTTCTTTTGTTACCAGTAAGCCTTGTTATTTCTAAGGGAGTCAATGCTAACACTAAATTCTTTACATTTCAAATAAAATAATATCGTGACTGATGTGCCCACAGCAATAATTAGTTTATAATATCATATGATTTCATAGGTAACGACTAAAACGTGAACCAAGAAGTGAAATTTATTATTACCATATGGTTTATTTAGTTTGCCTGTCATACTCTTGATACTTTAGTTTTATCAAATAGGATTTCCTGTATCATAATTTCCTTTAGAAATTGAAAAACAAATTAAATATTGTAAAAGCTACCTTATACTTTACTGTCATACAAAATCCTTCTTCCATCAAATATTACAAACATTTGTAGTATTAACACATTAGTAAAAATGTAAAATTAGATACTTGAAAGCAATTTCATTAATTAAGGGAAATATTTTTATAACATAAGTGTATAAAGTACAATGTTTCTCATCTTTATACCTTGGCTCATCAGAGTTGCAGGCATGGCTGTGGCACTTTTTGGAGTTTGTGGGATGGGTTTATTTCAGTTAATGAGCATGGTTTCTCCACTATGGCTGACATTTTAATATTAGACTTCCAGCAGTGAATTCTCGTCAAAAATGGTTTTTAGATCACCAGGCTTTCCATGACTAGAGCTTTTGGTACAGAATGTCAAGTACATTTATCATCAGTTAAATGAATTAATTATAAATGAACATACTGTTGGTAACACAGCAACAAGAAGAAAGGATGTCACAGAGAGAAACACTGGGATTTGGTGTACTTCCTCTGCTCTTTTAAACATCAGTTCTTATTTGGCCAGTGTCTCTCATGTGAATTTTAGAGAGCTTAGTTTCAAGAGGAAACTTGTAAGCATGATTAAAATGAAATTATAAATATTTTAACTATAAGACTTACCAGTCTATAAGGCTTTAATATTGAGAAAAGAAAATAACACTATATACTATTTTGAAAGAATCTATAAAAATAATCAAATTGTTCTTTTAAGGAAAATGAAGCTGATTAAATACATTTTACTGAAGAGGAAATTAAAGTCTGTAAAGACTGAGTAAAACCTCAAATATATTGAGTCAATCAAACACATAGTCCCCTTAAGTAACGATTTGTACCTTAAGCCATAATCATATAACAGATCACAGAGGCTGGGATCTCTAATTCTACTCACTACCCTGCTGTTCGATTAAGAATGACATTTTCCCCAGGTTCATTTAATACAACACACAAATTAAATCAGTGATATGTATAAATTTAAGTTGATTTTCCACATATTTTTGTTCTTGTTTTTATACTATTTTATGGTATATGTGACCAGCAATATTTTAAAGGGAAAAACTTATATAGAATAAGCATTTTTTTCAAACAACCCATTGAATTGGTAGTATGACAATGTGCTTTTCATTGATTTTAGATCAGTGGACAATATTCTCCTTTAAATGCTCAGTTACCATAAAAATATAATAATTTGCATTAAACTGGGAAAGTTATAAAATGTGTCATTAGTGGAAAAACTCTCCAGAATTGTTCTGTTAAAAATAAGAAAAGCAGTCTTTAGCCATAGGATGGAATAACTGTGAGAATATGTAAATATGAAACAAAGCTGAACGATAAGGAAAGCAGGGCACAGTTAACATGGTTTTCAGGATGGTGGTTACCACAGGTTGAGAGAGCTGAGAGGACTGGTTGGCAGAGGACAGATGGATATATATAAGATATTTTCAAGGCTCTATTTTTTGTATCAGGTGGCTGAGTTGTGGGTAAATGAATGTTACATTATTACATTCAATAAATGAATGGCTCAGTGAATTAAAAAGAGAGTGATGCATAGATCAATGATAAGATAGTTTCATAAATGAAGTATTAAGATTAATCCAATATTGATACACCTAAGGTCAAAAAGGAGAAAATTAAAGTTTTTAAAATGCATTCATCTAGATTTTTTCTGCTTACAGATAATATTTTTGGTAATGTGTTTGTAAATCAACCAGTAGGCATCCAAGTTCCCTTAATTATGTAGCATGTTATTCTGAATTGTTTTCTATTTAAAGATATCTCATTTAAAACATATTGTCTAACTTGTTCTAAGTCAGAAATGTAAACATACTTAGTATCTCTCTCTTTGTCTCTTTCTCCCTCTCTGTATCTCATTTGCACTTGAAAGTTCATGAAAACACACACACACACAGACACACCCCTTTCCAATTACAGGATGAAATGTTATAGTTAATATTTGTTTATTCAGATTTTTTGTTTTAGCCTTATTGTTTGTTTTTTGCTTTCTTAAATATAAAAGTTTATTTCTTCCTTAGTAAGTACAGCATATTAAAAACATACGAATTTTTCCTTGCTTATAAAATTGCAGTGTAGAAAGGTACCATTTCTTATTGTTGTATACACCATCCATCTCAAATTATCTGAAAAATAAAAAGTAGCTCACAAGAAAATTCCAAACACATTAGGGCAAAAAATAGTTAAAAATAACAAAGAATTTAACAAAAATGATGTAAAACAAAAGAGCAAACATGCAGATTCACACATGCACACGCTGCACCCACACATACCTCCTGGACAATTGATAGGCATATAAACAATTGGTCCTAATAGTTGTAGAAATTTCCATCTGCATTTGGGATAGGTCCTGAGATTTATTTTTGTAACTCCTCTTTCTTTCATCCCTTGCCCCTCACAAGGTGCTAGGGGTTCAGAAACAAATCGTTTTCATTCCCTGCCCTGGAGGAGATGGGCAGGTCAGCAGATAATTAGAATGCAGTGTCGTGGTTATTGTCCAGCTCAAGAGAGAAGGAAGGAAATAATTCTGCACAACAAAAGAATGGAAAGGAAAAGTTAGAGAAAATTTCATGGAGGACATGAAATTAGAAAAGTATTTGACATATAAATAAAATTTGCCCAAGTGAAAAAGACATAACTGGGTAGACAATAATTAGCATTGCAGTGCAATTCCAACACAAAATGTATAGGGAAAGTAAAGGAGGAATCTGGAATTGGATTGAGATGGGCCTTAAATGTTATAGTAAAAAAAGAAAAATGTTGGATGAGAACTCTACTTTAGAAACACAAAATTGACTAAAATGTGAGGAATGAATTAGAATAAGGAGAGATTAGGGATAGAGAAACAAAGTATAAGTCTGTTACAACAGACACAAGAGATGATGACTTCTCAAGTAGGGTAGCTGTAAAGGGATTGGTGCTTTTGGGCAGCAGAGAAAGGCTTGCCTGTTCCCTGGCAGCTAGTCTGAGCCAGGCCTATAATAAATAAGTTTTGAATAATTCCATAAGTCTGAGATGTCTTTATCTATTTGCTTTATTACCATTTTTGTTTTGTTTTGTTTGAGATGGAGTTTTGCTCTTTTTGCCCAGGCTGTAGTGCAATGGCGTGATCTCTGCTCACTGCAACCTCCATTTCCCAAGTTCAAGCGATTCTCCTGCCTCAGCCTCCCGAGTAGCTGAGACCACAAGCCCGTGCCACCATGCCCGGCTAATTTTTGTAATTTTAGTAGAGACGGGGTTTCACCATGTTGGCCAAGCTGGTCTTGAACTCCTGACCTGAGGTGATCCGCCCGCCTTGGCCTCCCAAAGTGCTGGGATTACAGGTGTGAGCCACTGCGCCTGGCCCTATTACCAGTCTAAATTCTCTCCCATAAAAATTCACTTCTGTGAGTGTTAGTTCTAGTAGGGTTCTGCTAGCGGAAGTTTACTGTTTGCAAATGGGAAGGCATCTAAATTCCATATATCAAAATCACTTCTCCTGTCTTAAAAAATGTGGCCATGTAGACTAGTGATTTTATTGGCCACACACAGCATGGTAAAAAAGACAAATTCATGCAATCTAGTAAATGGAAAATCTGGCTCCAAGTAGATTATATTATGGATCTGGAAATCCTTTGTGTTGGCTCTTTGTAGTTCTCAATAATTTTAAAACTCATGTCAACAGTTAGGACTGGGTGTGAAAGGATAAAGTCTGGAATTGAGATTAGGAACTATAAGAATCAAAAGCACTTTCATCCCTTGGTTTCCATCATTTTCTTTGTAGGTCCATTTTGGGAATGTTTACATGCTAAACACTTAATGATGTAGCAGCTTTCAAGTTTCTTTGTGTGCCTCCGTAAAACCAGTAATGCCGAGGAAAAACAAGACAACCTTGAACAGTTGTGGAAGGTTTACAGGGACTTCAGATGCAATGTGGTTCTACTGCTGCTAGTGGGAGAGGGGATCTGTGGTCTACTGAGCTTTCCTCTATGTTTCCGCCATATGGACTACTATTCTAGAAAACAATCTGTCACTGGGGGTAAATTCTCACCAGTCAGCAGCCACCTGAGGTGTAGTTAGAAAAAAACAAAACAAAACAAAACACTGGAATAAAAAGAATAGCTCTGGAAGCTGATCTGTCTATATGAGAATTGGTGTGGGAGTGTGGTGGTAGTGGATGTCTTCAGGAGGTAGGGGAAAAATGTGAATAGAGACATCCAAGATCAACAAATCTCTATTTAAACCTAAAAGAAGCTGAAATAGGCATTTTGAGCAAAACAAGCTAAAGAAGATGAAAAGATTACCTATACATTGAAGTGTTCTCAGTTCCAAGTTACACTTTAAAATTTCTGAGAAGGAAAAACAAAAATCAATGTTTGCTATGCCGATACACAAACCTTTCACCTCTGGGAAAAGTCTTTGGGTTCTAAGCCAAACCAATTTTGTGAGTTTTACCCTTCAATCCTCAGGTCACAAACAGCTAAACATCTTACCTTTCAGTGTTCATGCCAAGAAATAAAGAATGTTAGAGTTCATTACCGAAGCAGCGGACAGCACGTGGCAGATAATTTGTACTGAGAAAAAGGTTGTCTCTCACATTGGTGGTTGCATTTCCTTCCTTCCTTCCTTCCTTCCTTCCTTCCTCCCTCCCTCCCTCCCTCCCTTTCTTCTTTCCCTTCTTCCTTCCTTCTTTCTACCTTCCTTCTTTCCTTCCTTCCCTCTTCCTTCCTTGTGTCCTTCCTTTATTCGTTTCCTCCCTTTTCCCTCCCTCCCTCCCTCCCTCCCTCCCTTCCTTCCTTCTTTCCTTCCTTCTCTTCCCTTCTTCCCTTTCTTCCTTTCTTTTTTCTTTTTATTCCAGTGAAAACAGAAAGTTAAGTCTAGTGGGAAAAATGAGGCTGCACTGAAAGACTGGCTCTGAAAGAAGCAATCAGGCAACAATAAGGTGCTTAAAGGCCTTCTTACCTCTTTCTTTCCATCTGCTTCTTGCTGAAGGAGGGTCTGTGCAGAACGGCAATAAAACATCAATGGAAACTTGGCCAAAGAATGAAACTGAGTCTTAGAAATGTACTGATGTACTATTTGTGCTTCCCCAACCCTCCTCATCCCTGTTTAGGATTTTTCATTTGGTGGATTCTATTATTAAATATTACCCATCCTCTTGGTTTAGAGGAGAATTGTTTGGCCCCCTACCACAGCCCACCCAAGGAAAGATAGAACAGAAATTTTTAAAGGGAGCATTTTGATATAGCATGGCTTTGCTGAGGGTTAATATCCCGTGCCTCTAGTATATTTTCCAAGTCTATGATGTAGGGCTGAGATGCTGAGAGCATTGTGATCTGACTAATATTACCCCTTCCCAGAATCTCACAGATGGACTACAATGAATAGGTTCAATTACTTATTTAAAATTCAAAGGTACTTCACAGTTTGAATTTTCATGACTTTATAGTTTCTTCTTTCATCTTTATTCCAACTAAAATTCTTTAGAAGAAAAATATTTGCAAGTCTAAGATTATTTGCATTAAAAAAACTAAAAAGAAAAATAGGAAAGGAGGGAGGAAGAAATGTTACAGTATTAGCAACTGTGATTCCTCATTGGCCTAGAGATTTTAACTACAGTTTTTATGCAAGGCGTTTTTTAACTTCACTGTTTTGGAGGAGGCAGTAGCTGAGATTAATTATGTATAATTATATTATTATTCCTCTTTTCATCAAGACATAAAAATACATATTATATAATCATAATATATGATCCAGACACCAGTATAATACACATGCAAAAAAGTCTCCTATAAAATAAATTCAATGATCTGTTATTGCATCATTTTTTAAATATATTTTTGTTATAGAGGACATAATATAAAAAAAAAACATTATATATCAAATAATGCCCAGTACTAGGTATAATTCTAAAAATTTTATTAGACTAGTAGATATTTTCACAGTACATGGGAGTATGTGAAAATACTTACTTATGATAGCCTCTTGAGTGTTTTGAGACTAATGGAATTTCTCTTGAATTTCAAGGGCCAGTTCTTTCTGGAGGAAAGGAGAATCCATCAGATATTTGTTTTTTTAAAAAAGCCATGTCCAAACATACATGCTATAAGGTGGCTCTAGGCCTAGCCATTCTCCTCTTTTCCTTTAATTGCTGCATCTCCATGCAACTAAACATTTACTAAGTTCTTTGGATGTTATTAAATAATAAACTTTTCACTTCATTCAAACTTGGCATAAACTTTGGGCTTTCTCATAAGGTAAAAAATTCAGCAAGACTATAGAAAGAATAATAATGAATTACTTTGGATTGCAAAGAGGATTCTCCTGGAATTCTACAACATCTGGAATTTAGCGTATTTCTGTGAAATGTCTCCATTTATGCTTAGGAAGAGAGAGTGGATACCATCAGGAAGTAGGAAATTTGAACCATGTTAATCACATCCACAAATGACATTTAGTATCCAGATATCAGCAAAAGGCCAAATAGAGAAGAAATTAAAATAAGCAATCTTATGAATTCAGTCTGTGGTCAGGAGACATTCCAAGAAGTTTTTAACAGGAAGCAAATAAACAACCTCTCAAATATAAGTCATTCCATATCTGAATCAATCTAAAATTAAAAATGCTACAGGGCAGGTGGGGAGGAAGGAAATCCCTGCAAGAAAGAAATGATCAAATAAATTCCCATCAAGGTTTTCCACTTTTTGTTTCTTTTTTTAAATACACATTTACAATATGTGAAGTGCTTCTCATTTTGACCTTTTTTTCCCCCGGGCTCAGGAAAGGGCTTTCCAAGGTCTTCATCAGCCACCAGTGGATGATCTCAGGGCTTTTCTGAGAATGAATAAACGAACAGGGTGCAGATAGTGTGAAGTTAGCCCACCTCTCCTTTCCTCCTTTCGTCACTTGCCATTCTGAGTACCTTTTGGCCTTATGGAGCATGCTCCTTTATAGTACAGATGTAAGAGGAAACTTTTTGAGGTGACGGATATGGATATGTTTATGGTGTAGATTGTGGTGATGGTTTCACAGTGTATGCTTATCTCCAAACTCATCAAATTGTATACATTAAATATGTACAGCTTTTTATTTGTCAACCATACCTCCATAAAATGGTTTTTAAAAAAGAACACAAAACCATTACTATAGTCTTTCTTTTTTTTTTTCCTTTTTTTTTTTTTAGATGGAGTCTCGCTCTGTCACCATGCTGGAGT